>NC_000012.12:27237345-27390040 GCF_000001405.40 Homo sapiens
ATTGCTTAGGATAGTCAGAGCTTGATTCTTAGCTTTTCATGTCCAGAAATTTAACTTTGTCAGAGGTGACCAAACTCAGAGGAACCAATACGGAGTAAGGGTAGTGTAACTGAGAGGAGAACATGTGGCAATTTGAGAGTGGGAATTTATAATGAAAAATGTAATTGCCAAGCAAATCAAAAATTTCTATTGGCTAATTGACATACTCTTACCTCATAAGAAAATCTACATGGGAAGTCAAATCAGAAATTTACTTGATGAATACAATGATTGATTTATTTGATTTTAATTGATCCAATTTATCTGATAACCTTTGTAGCATTCAGCCCTGGTAGGGCATACCACAAGTAGACCAGATATTCATTTCTGCTTGCCAAGTTACTCTTGCCCCAGACAGCTTGCAATATACAACTTAATACTTGTAAATAAAACGCCTCTGCCCAGAGCTCTGCAACAGCTTTCTATTGCTATTATATGAAGATAAATCTTAGCTGGGCATGGTGGCACACACCTGGAGTCTCAGCTACTCGGGATGCTGAGGCAGGAGGATCACTTAAGCCCAGGAGTTTGAGCCTGCAGTATGCCATAATCACACCTGTGAACAGCCACAGCACTCCAGCCTGGGTAACATGGTCAGATCTTGTCTCTATAGCAACAACAACAACAACAATTTCTTAACCTTCTCCACAAGGCCCTGTGTTGTCTAATCAGATAAAAAAAAAAATTCCTTGAAAGCCCTATTTGGGTTATTTTCTCCAGGAAATCAAATCAGCATAAAATGCATGAAGCTAACCCGCTGAAAGCAACCACCTGATTCCTGGGGAGGTTGTAGAGTATAGCAGAATGAATGAGAAGCACATCCAGTAACTTCTCCCCCACAATCCCTCTCTGTAGCTTCATAAAATAATTCAACCAAAATTATCAACACAGCACCAGCTAACACCAAGAATGATCTTGCCTGCCCCAGACTCTACTAGAATTCGCTACATTTAAACAAGCCACAGGTTTTGTAACTTACTTCCCTACATAGCCTTATCCCCAACCTTAACCCCAGAGCTGAAACGAAGAAGAGGAACATAGATTGCATGCCTGTGAAGTGGCTTTCCTGTCAAGGTCTTAGACTTTCTTTCACTGCCTAGATTAAAAATATAAACAAAACCCAGTGTGAGCAAGCATGTGGGGAAATGGGAATTTTCTTGTACTGCCTGCTGGTAGCGTGGAAACTGGTGTAACCTCTGGATGGTAGTTTGGTAACAGGCTTGGAAATGTAAAGTGTGCATTGCCTTTGAGTCACTTCTAGTAGTTTGCCCTGAAGTTCACATTCTCTAGTGGGAGGAGATAACTAAAAAGGAAGTTCAACTGTTTTAACATAGTGGAAACTGTTGCAAGTAATGGTTTAGAATTTAGAAAACCACGAATATCAAATGATCTTCGGAAACATACTTTTTCAAGAGCGACCCTCTATATGATTGTGATGTAATGTCAATTGTGAACTGAGGGATGTCAATCCATAATATCAAGAAAAATTATGCTAAAAAATCTCTAATGTGATTCAGCCTTTTTTCAGTCTAGTCAAGTCAGTTAAAAAATAAAGCAGGGATCAATTAGAAGTCACTGTTTCCAGGTTTATAAAGTAATTTGCAGAAGACAGTCTGGTGATAGCTCTGAATGGACTGTCGTGGATGATTAAATGGCCCAGTGAAAGTCCCATGCAGCTTGTAAAATAGAGTCTTCATTTTCAAACAAACTCAACTATACTTAGTTGTCTGGTCTCCGTTAGAGTCCTTTTGAAAGTCATGGCTATGAGAAGAGGAGCCAGGAGTCAAGCACTCTTAGTCTCAAACTGGAAAGGCCCATTCAGTTTTTTAAAAAATCTTGTAAACTTTCAATTTTTTTCCAAGGTAAAAACCTTACTAGGTTTTCATCAGGACAGACTTCCAGGAGAACTAAAAAGCACCTATTCTCTCTCCTTTTTAAATCTATTGGCGTAACACTGCATATCATAAACTTTTATGCTCTTTAAAATCTCCGTATCTGTAGTTGCATCTCCATTATCATTGTTACTGTTTGTGTCTTTTTGTTTTCCCTGGATTAATCTTGTCAAGCTGTTTCCTATTTCCTTTACTTTTCCAAAGAATCAGTTTTTGGTTATTGTCAATTTCAGTCATTTTTTTTTTCAAAAAAATTAATTTCTAAATTAACTAATTTAATTTCTGCCTTTATGTTTAAAATTATATTTGAAATTATTAATCATAACAGAATTTACATACATTTGAAAAACAGAGGTATATATGGGAATGATTATATATTTGATTTACATTCCTTGGTGGACATAAGGGTCATGGAGGGGCTTCTGCTCTAAGTTTTATATCCTTCTTCTTCCTTTGAATTTATTTTGTTTTCTCTTTCAGGTTTCCTGAGTTGAAAGCTTTGTTCATTTGTTTTCATTTTTGTGTTTTCTGTGAAGTGCATTTAAAACAATAAATTAGCCCTCTAAATACTGCTTTGGGTATATCTCACAGTTGCAAAATTGCATAGATGGAAAAGTTGCTTTATTCATTTGGTAGAAGGGTTTTATCAATAGCTTTCCTTCTATTATTATTTACTACTGCCATTTGGCATTCATTCTTTATTTACTATGTGGTAGGCCTAAGAGAGTAAAAGTAATATCAAAGAGTTCTTCCGATCAAGGAGCTACCACTTTCACATGGCAAAAACAAAAATCAGATAAATTGAGTGCTGAAAAGGTTTTCATCATGATTTTTCTCATCCTTTCTGGCCTACAATTTTAGCCTGTCTGCCTACATTTAGCATAAACTTGAAGAAGAGGGAATATGTGGAGGAAGGGGATACAAAGTCATATTCAGCTATAGTCTAATAAGGTTAGTAGTGGCCACAGTGTATGTTTATTACCTGAACTTTGATTCTGTATCAGATAGTTGGTGATAAGAGTTTTGGAAGTTCCTTCAAATGATCTATTACTTAGGTCAATGGTTCTTAACCTGGGTCTGTGAACCTCAATGCAAAAACCATATATATATTACATATATAACTATGTATAGTTATATAGTTATATATATTACATATATGACTATGTATAGTTGTATAGTTATATATATTACATATATGACTATGTATAGTTGTATAGTTATATATATTACATATATGACTATGTATAGTTGTATAGTTATATATATTACATATATGACTATGTATAGTTGTATAGTTATATATATTACATATATGACTATGTATAGTTGTATAGTTATATATATTACATATATGACTATGTATAGTTGTATAGTTATATATATTACATATATGACTATGTATAGTTGTATAGTTATATATATTACATATATGACTATGTATAGTTGTATAGTTATATATATTACATATATGACTATGTATAGTTGTATAGTTATATATATTACATATATGACTATGTATAGTTGTATAGTTATATATATTACATATATCACTATGTATAGTTGTATAGTTATATATATTACATATATCACTATGTATAGTTGTATAGTTATATATATTACATATATGACTATGTATAGTTATATATATTACATATATGACTATGTATAGTTATATATATTACATATATGACTATGTATAGTTATATATATTACATATATGACTGTATAGTTATATATATTACATATATGACTATGTATAGTTATATATATTACATATATGACTCTGTATAGTTATATATATTACATATATGACTCTGTATAGTTATATATATTACATATATGACTCTGTATAGTTATATATATTACATATATGACTCTGTATAGTTATATATATTACATATATGACTCTGTATAGTTATATATATTACATATATGACTCTGTATAGTTATATATATTACATATATGACTCTGTATAGTTATATATATTACATATATGACTCTGTATAGTTATATATATTACATATATGACTCTGTATAGTTATATATTACATATATGACTCTGTATAGTTATATATATTACATATATGACTCTGTATAGTTATATATATTACATATATGACTCTGTATAGTTATATATATTACATATATGACTCTGTATAGTTATATATATTACATATATGACTCTGTATAGTTATATATATTACATATATGACTCTGTATAGTTATATATATTACATATATGACTCTGTATAGTTATATATATTACATATATGACTCTGTATAGTTATATATTACATATATGACTCTGTATAGTTATATATATTACATATATGACTCTGTATAGTTATATATATTACATATATGACTCTGTATAGTTATATATATTACATATATGACTCTGTATAGTTATATATATTACATATATGACTATGTATAGTTATATATATTACATATATGACTATGTATAGTCATATAGTTATATATATTACATATATGACTATGTATAGTCATATAGTTATATATTACATATATGACTATGTATAGTTATATAGTTATATATATTACATATTATGTAATTTTTTCACTAAACTCAAACTGAAAATTAGCATTTCTTCCATCATGAATGTAGGCAGCAAACCACAGGAATATTAGCAATACCTGTGACTTTTCCTCAATAGGAATCACACATATTTTCTACCCCATTAAAGTTGTTGTAGATATCTCAAAATATTGTTTCTGTGTATCATTACTACAAAATTACTGTAGGTCTTGATCTTATTATTTAATGCATTAATAAAGAGGCAAATATATAACTATTTTAGTTATCTATGGCAGTGTAACATAGTATCCCAAAAGTTAGTGGCTTAAAACCACAAATATTTATTGTCTCACAGTTTCTGTGGGCCAGAAATCTGGGCTTGGCTAGTTGGGCCTGCTGGCTCAGTATCTGGTTTTACAAGGCTGCAGTCTAGGTGTCAGGTGGGGCTGCAGTCATCTCAAGGCTCAACTGGGAAAGAATCTACTTCCAAGCTTACTTACATGATTATTGGCAGTATTCAGTTCATCACAGGTTGTTGGACTGGGGGCCTGAATTCCTTGGTGGCTGTTGACTGGATCTCTCTCAGTTCCTTGCCATGTGGGCTTCTCTGTAAGGCAGGTCACAAGACAGCAGCTGGCTTCCATGAAAGCGAGCAAGTGAGAGAGCAAGGACAAGCAAGATGGAGCCCAGAATATTTTTGTAACCTAATCACGGAAATGATATCCTAATCACTTTTGCTATATTTCCTTTTTAAGAACTAAGTTACTAGAGAAGGGAATTACAGAAGGCAGGAATACTAGAAGGCGTGGATCATTGGCAGCCATCTTAGATGCTACTACTACTTACCACATAATTATATTACAAACTCACTTTTTAGTATTTTGGTAACTGTATGTTAACATTATCAATTTCCTTTGTAACCCTAGGTAGTTTATGCATTTAAGAACACTGTTTTGAAAAGGGGTCCATAGACCACCAAAATTCTGGTTCATAGCTCTAATTTGTTTCAGTTGAGGTACTTTCAACAACTTCCCAGGGAAATTTGTTTACAATGGTCTCAATTTAGGAGAATTTAGGAACTAGAGGTCAAAGTCTTAGGCTATCCCATATTAACCTAGACTGCTACTCTATACTAGTTCATATTACTCTAGTATGGCACATTTGAAGACATAAATTTGCTGTGGAACAAACCATACACTGTTCTCAATCTTATCGTAGCATTTGAATGGTATGTGTATGCGTGCAGTACAGGGAGAAGGGTGTATAGGCCTGTCAAGCTTGTCTGATCACAATTAAACCTCCTATGCTTGTATATGACAACTGTCATTTGAGTTTCAAAATGACCATATAAGTGGAGCTGATCTCCCCAAAAATACACTAATTACCAAACTAGAGCTTTTCCCACTACTAAGCTATGTATGAAAAAGCACAGTGTAAGAAAGAGAAATGAGGTAATGCTTCTTTCCTAGGTGTTTTGCTCGTGTCACCTGCTCTTGGGAAACCTAAAGATGACAGGTGGCATTTCTAAGTGATAGTTTTTGCAAGCACAGTACCAGCTTCATACGTTGTCTCAGTAAGCTAAAAGCTAAGAATATTTTATAAGACCTCCAATACTCATATTGAGGATAAACTTGCCAACAATAATTGGGAGTCATTCTCTCATTTGGCTTTCCCAAAGGCCAGTTTTGTCCCCAGACGCAAATTGCATCAACCTTCCCAAAGTTGTCCCTTTTGGGTCATCCTATAGGGGAGTGCTCTTCTGCACAATTCTCAGATCCTACTGATAAAGCAGGCCAGTACTGTAGTTATTTTAGATTTTCCAAGAAAACTCAAACAGGTTTTTAATGTATTTTTTGTGGCATTTACAAATCCTGGTTCCTCTCCAGTCTCTGGAGTCCCCTCATGGTGAAATGGAAGCGTCAAGGAACCTGGGTGGCTTCGAGTCCCCACAGCTACCGACTGAGCAACTTAGCTGATCCATCTTTGTTGACAACTGTTTCCCAATCTGAAAAATGCGTGAATTCTCTCTTTCCATTTCTAACATTCTTTGCATTGCACTGTTTGAAAAATTCGGATGACATTTAGAATGTGACTAATGTCGCAACACATTAGGCCACTCTCAAGAGAGGCCTGAACAGGTTTGGCGTAAAAACGGCAGTGAGGTGAGGCTGGTGAGAGGGGAAGTGGCGACAGTTCAGTCAACTCCCTCAAAACCAGTCTGGCCTTCACCAGGCGGAGATGGGTGGGGCCGGGAAGACGGGCGTTGACGACAGAAGGCTACTTCCGGCTGTGGTGCGTATGACGTCAGGGCGAGTCGGACCGACCCAGCCACCGAGAAGCCGAGGAGGCAAGGCTCGCGAGAGTTCAGGGAGGCCGCCCTGAGATTCCGGCGAGGCCGCGGGTCCCACCTCCCGGGGGCGGGGCGAGGGCGGAGCGGGGAGAAGGGAGCTGACGGGCGCCCGGCCGGCTGCGGTCCGTGCGGAGGCTGAGCCGGCCGCGGGCGCGACCGGAGGCAGGTGAGTTCGCGGATGTAGCGCTCGGCTGAGGGCCCGAGCTCGCCGCGCCAGCCCCAACTCTGCGAGCAGGAGCAGGAGGAGATTTTAGGTGTCTTTGGGTGTCCAGGGAAAGCCGGGCTAATTCTGGGGCTGGAAATGTCTCCGGGGAACCTGCGGCGACGGCCTTGGCCCTCTTATTCCCCGGGGTGATACTGGCCCCATGTGTCCAGAGAGGGAGCCTCGCACCCGGGGAGGAATCTTTGTCCTCTGCTCCTTTCTCCTTCCACTCCCCGGCCCCCGAGCACTCCGCTCCGGGTCCCCGCCTGGGCTTCACAAACAATAACAAATGTCGCGGATCCTCTCCGGGTAGCCCCAGCGCTCCCGTCCCGTGCCCTCCAGCCGATGTCACCCAGAGCCAGGATCCGAAGCATGGCTCTTCAATTGTGGGGGCTGTTTGTGTACCGTTCCTAAAAACTGATGCGTCAGATTGCCAAACATTTCTCAAGACAGACTCAGGAAAGCCTCCCAGCTCCTAGAAGCCACGGAGTGCTCAAAACCAGTCTTAGAATCTGTCTTTACCATTGCACCCGTAGCCCCTTCCTTTCAAAATCATTTCTCCCACTCCTTTTTTCACCTTTAGTATCGAGGTCGAACGAGTGGTTATTTGGTGTGGGAGTAGAAAAGAGTATAACCGATTGAGTAGGGCACGTTTCACCTTTAAAAAGTTGCCAGGTTGACAGCAAAAGAACAAACTTTATTTTCAAAACCAGTGGCCTCCCCTTTTACTGGTGCTGCTTTTGTTTTGTGGAATAGCTTTTCGGGTTCTAAGTTTGGAGGAATGATATAAAAAGAAGTGGGAGGTGGGGGGAGGGCTAGTGGCTCTGGAAGTAGTGGCTTGTCCAAAAGTAGGATGCTATTGTTTCTCACTTGATAAAATGCAGAACCAACACTTTTACCCATTTCACATAACTTGTGATAAGTTTTGAGAGAAGCCACTTAATCGGAAATGGCCTATTAGCTTATTTTACTGCTCAAATCTGAAAAAACAGCTTTAAGTGATTTAAGTTCTGCCTCTTGATTGTAAGATGGGGATTGATGAGTGAGACCTTGTCTTTTTTGGCGCTGGGGCTTACGTTTGACCGGTCTCTCTACTTTAAGGCAGGGCCTATTGTACTTAAGCCCATTTTTGCTTCCTCAGTACAGATTCTTGAAAGTTCTTTGTCTCAATCATATATGTATATAAGGTACTGTAAACCTCTTTGAATTTGATTGGCCTTTCTCTCTGTGCCTCAGGATATGTAAAACAATTAAGTTTATTATACTCTCTCCCCAGTGGCTGAGAGGTATTGTATGTGAATTAGCCACCCTTGTGACTATTTGAGGAGAGAGAAGTTAGTCTAAAATATTATGTTAAATTATGATATTACATAATTTTATTGCATAAGTTCATCAAACTACTTCCATCTGAAAAATCCTGATCTCAAAATAGGTAGGTACAATGAATTAAAAAATGTTTTGGTTTGACCTCACTTAGCTTTGTTTTCTCCTTGTTAAGATGGCTGATAATGTTTCCCATTTGGTTGTGATGTGTTTAGAATGAGAAGCAAAGTTGGGTGTAGTTTTTGTACTCTTTTGAAAGGCCTTGCCACTAGGAATGAAAAAATTAGACTTAGAAAACACACATTAAATAGAAGCAGTTTTTCTCTAGCCATTTGCTCTTGAGTTTGTTTTAAAATAAGTCAAAGAATGGAGACTGAGATGATTTGTGCCAACAAATAGATGTCCTTGTTAGTTTTTATGCTGAAAACTTGATTTCTAAAGGTAGGACACTGTAAGAACAAAGGAGAAATTGGACTTCCTAAAAAATGATAACAAAGCAATGGACTCAGTTCAGCTGTTTGCTTTCAGAAAAGTTCTGTTCTCTTAAAGTAAGGAGAGCATCATTGTGTTAGTGAAATTGGATAACGCACCTTAGAAAGTGCCTCCCCAGTGATCCAGGATAAGTTGGAGGCTCTTTTGTGTGTGTGTGGCACTTTTTGTTAAGAGGGAGAAAGGGCACAAATCAGAGCCAGAAAGATTTGCATCTCGATGTATTGTTAAAATGCTTTTATTTTATGTAAATAGTGTCAGGTGAATCAAGCAAGCATATTGTTGTCTAGCATCCTTAGGATTACATTAAAATCAGCAGATTGGCAAGTTATGATTAGGTTAGACTTGACATATGCAGAAATTATGCTTCTGTATTTTTATATTAAAAGCACCATGGTCTTTTTGAATGAAATAATGAAAGCAAGCTTTTAAGACATAACTTTTTTAAAAAATTAAAAATCTGTCTTTGGTTAGTTTATAAACATGAAGCATATCCTCCTCTTCTTCCCCCCAAAATTTTTGTTTAAGTCTTAAGAAAGTCTTTAGCAAGGTATGACCAGTACTTAAGTGCACTGGTTGCATAAGCCTTCTGTCTCCAGGTAAAAGTTTGCTAATTGACAGGGTATTATTGTTCAGAATCTTTAGAGGGAGAGAAATGAAAGGCAACAGTGAACAGTGTTTGCTGCTCTGTACACTCGGACGAACTGTGGTTGCTACTCTGTACACTCGGACGAACTGTGGTTGCTGTCTTCAAGGAGATGTGATCCAGTGGGAGAGAAATATACCTACCCAAATAAATACCATAGAAAATGTGTTTTATGAGGAAGCCAAGGAGGGAGGGATTAAGTGCTGCTAGACCAATTAAGGAAGACTGAAATAGGAAAAGGCGTTTCTGTGGATGATTTAAGTGATCTAGTCATATGATAATGATGATAAGTAAATACTTTATATAATGCTGCTTCCTGCTAAATCCTTTACATATATTACTTACTTGCCTGGCTTTAATCCTCACAACAACTGTATGGAGTAGGTATTTTTATTATTCCCGTTTTGCAGATGAAGTAACTGTGGTACTAAGGTTAGATAGCTATTGAGTGGTAGGACCAGGATTCTGACCCAGGCATTCTGGCTTGTACCCATATGGCATGCTTAACTGCAATCCATATTTTCTCTCCTGTTCATGATGGTCTTCCTCAGATCTGTAGTTTCAAAAACTTGACTTGGGAAATACATTCTTCTGACATCTAAATTTTGGGGTCAGTTTTCTAGAAAGAGTTCCAAAATAACACCCAAGTAAATGAGTTATTTTTGACATGTTATTTTAATCCATTTTTGGAAGTTATTCTTGGTGCAGATTAAATATAACTATTGAGTGGGACTTTTTAATAATTTTGACTTATTACCTATAAGTACTCATAAGAACTTAGAAGTGAGAAGTTATTCCATATTAACTCTTTTGCTTAATGGAATGTTTGCGTCTTTGTATATTTTGTCCTGTAATTTATTTTTTTTAAAGAAAGAACCTCACTGTCTTGCCCAGCCTGGACTCGAACTTCTGGGCTCAGATGATCTTCTTGCCTCCTAAGTTGCAGGAACTATAGGCCTGAGCCACTGTGTTTGGCTTTGTTCTGTAATTTTTTTTTTTTTTTTTTTTGACAGAGTTTAAGTCTGTCTTTTAGGCTGGAGTGCAGTAGTGCAATCATGGCTCATTGCAACCTCTGCCTCTCAGGCTCAAGCGATCCTCCCACCTCAGCCTCCTGAGTAGCTCGGACTACAGGTGTGCACAAGCACGCCCGACTGATTTTTAAATTTTTTGTAGAGACAGGGTTTCACTATGTTGCCCAGCCTGGTCTCGAACTCCTTGGCTCAAGTGATCCTCCTGCCTTGGCCTCCCAAATGTTGGGATTACAGGTGTGAGCCAATGTGCCCAGCCCTGTTCTATAATTTTTTAAACCACTTGGCACTGGATAGTTTTTGGGTTGAATTATGAAGTTGAAATTTAGTTAATGATTGAATGTTGGTCTCAGCCCTTTTAGTTTATTTTCATGAATAGCTATGCTTATAATGGCAGAAACAGGGTGAATAGAGTGTTGTACATGTAAAAATGAGAGAAGTTCCATCACTGATACTTTATGTTGGGGCAACTTTGACAGTTCTTTGGGTTTGTGAAATAAAGGGTGCTATAGAAGTGCACAGTGTCTTGTATAGGCCTACTCAGTACTGTAAATGTCCACCTGATTTTATTTATGAAGTTTCAGGAATAGTCCACATTTGTTATTGTTTAAGAATTGGAATCACAAATTCAATTGGATTTAAAGGTTAGAAAAAAAGTATACCTAGGCAGGGAATACAGCAGGTGAGCGGTGGGAGAGGTATTGCCTGCCTTTTCCTAACTGTCCAGCAGGATCCAGACTCTTCAGCTTCTTTGTCAGTGCCTGCAGTTGACCGTACTCATAGTTTAAGTACAGCTCCAGAGTCATAGTCTCTGTGAACGAATATAAGTATTCTCCACTTGACTCAATGGGGTAGGTTCTAGAAGACACCTATACTAGGACAGTTGATGGTTGATGAGCTTAAAACCTAATGGGAAGAGTAGCAGAACTAAAGCCAGGATTTAAAGCACGTGTGTTTATATTATTGAAATAAGACAGAGATGGCAAAACAAATTTTAAAAAGTTTTTTTTTGAAACATACCTTAAATTAATAGTGATGGTATATCATTTCCATTTACCATGCCCTGATTGGCAGATCTTTAGCCCATCATTTCATGGAGATACTTAGATGTGGACTTCGCTTTGTTATAAAAAGTTTCCAAGTTCTTCTAAGTACAGGTGGTTTGGGAAGATTGTCTTAGTAAAAAGGTGTGTGAGTAGGTCTATCAAAAGAAAACCAGTCATACTGTTACCTCCTTGCTGATTCAAGTTTTGGGGGCATCTTTTCCCACCAGGAACAGCTTATCTGCATTGAACGTCTGCTGAGGCAGGTAGCCTGCCTCTTAGATGAGCTCTGCACAGATCTTAGGGAAGACCTTAACAGTTACAGGTCATGTGGTGACCTGATCATTCACAGTCATATTGTATAAATTCCAAACAGGCCTGGAGCCTTGGCAATTGTCTGTGGTATGTGATAACACTTCTACTATGCTTAGCTTTTATTTATTTATTTATTTATTTTTGAGACAGAGTTTCACTCTTGTTGCCAAGGCTGGAGCGCAATGCATGATTTTGGTTCACTGCAACCCCCGCCTCCTGGGTTCAAGTGATTCTCTTGCCTCAGCCTCCCAAATATCTGGGATTACAGGCACGCACCACCATGCCTGGCTAAGTTTTGTATTTTTAGTAGAGATGGGGTTTCACCATGTTGGTCAGGCTGGTCTCGAACTCCCGACCTCAGGTGATCCGCCCGCCTCGGCCTCCCAAAGTGCTGGGATTACAGGCGTGAGCCACTGCGCCTGGCCTATGCTTAGCTTTTAAATTCTTAACAAGCTCTTTACCTTCCCCTTAATTAACACCAGATCAGTTGGTAACCCAAATTGTTGATTCTCTGGCCATTTATACAGAAGGCTTCCTGTTTTCCTTGCCTTTTGCTGATTCTCGTTGATTCCACAGGTATAGAATTTCTACATGTTATAATAGATAAATCTCTGATCCCGTATGCACAGATAGCATCCATTGTTTTCTTACCTCTTTGAGTTATTTACTATCTCTCCAGCTGATTCAGGAGATTTTATTCCTCGTTTTCCTGATTCCTGGGACACTTTTACTGCTTTTGCAGTTCCTGAATAGGGTGGAGTTAATAATGTTTAACACCTCAAATCAGCTACAGATACACCCAGAATAAAGAACAAGATGGCAGAAACTAACATGAGGGCATGATAGCTAACCCAGGCATTCGGGGTTGCTGTACCTTTGCTATGGAGTCTAGCTTTCATTCTGTCTGTGAAAGTTTAGAAAATTGAGTTTGGGACAGAGAAGCTTCTGCACACATTAATGCCTACTTTTCAGGGGGCCAAGTTCTCCCATTGCTATTCTGCTTTTATGAATACGGTTATTGCTATTCTGCTTTTATGAATACGGTTATTGCTATTCTGCTTTTATGATCTGGAGATTTTGACTGCATTTCTCTTGATTCCTCACCAATTCAAGAGACACAGTAAGTAATCTGAACATTTAATATGAAGCATACTTTGTGTAATTTATATTTCTCAAAGTTTGTCTCCCAGTGGTAATATATAGATTTAGCTCCCTGAACATCATCTTTCCCTCTTAAATGTTCTTGATTCCTTTTTCTTTCTGAATGTCACCCATTAGGGCACAGGTCTGATAATTTTATCAATGCCAGTAACCACTTATCCCTTACTATGCACCAGACATAGTGCTAAGTACTTTATATATATTATCTCATTTAATCCTTATAGCAATCTTGTGAGTTATTATCTCTACCTACAAATGAGGAAATTGGAGCTTAGAGAGGTGAAGTGACTTGCCCAGGGACACACAGGTAGATAGTAAGTGGTAGAGTTAGAAATTGCTCCTTCAGGCCGGGCGCGGTGACTCACGCCTGTAATCCCAGCACTTTGGGAGGCCGAGGTGGGCAGATCACGAGGTCAGGAGATTGAGACCATCCTGGCTAACATGGCCAAACCTCGTCTCTACTAAAAATAAAAAAAATAGCCGGGCGTGGTGGCGGGCACCTGTAGTCCCAGCTGCTCAGGAGGCTGAGGCAGGAGAATGGCGTCAACCCGGGAGGTGGAGCTTGCAGTGAGCTGAGACCACTTCACTGTAGCCCAGCCTGGGTGACAGTGAGACTCTGTCTCAAAAAAAAAAAAAAAAAAAAGAAATTGCTTCTTCAGATCAGGTTTGCTCTCTCTTACATTGCATTATTTTACTACAAAAACTTCTCCTTTTCTCTTTAATTTACCTCCCTCTTCTAGTCCCACCCCAAGTTTTCTTTCTTCTCTTTTTTCCCTTCCTTTTTTGGTAATTTCCCCTTTAGGAGTTATTTACAGTTTTGCATGTCAGACATAAATTCTCTTGGGAAAAGTATGCAGAAATAATTCAATTGTATTCTGATTTCTTATAGACAGGGATTTACTCTTAGCACTTATTTTAAGAATAATACCAGGAGCCCTTATATTTGTATTACACTTTATAGTTTTATGAAGCGTTTTTACACATTTCCTTACTTAATCCTCATAGCAGTCATGTGGTCTAGGCAGTGAGGGTTATGGCTATTACACCTATTTTCAGGTAAAGAGAGGAACTCAGATTAAAGTGACTTGTCTGAGATCTCAAAATAAGAGACAGAGCCTGAATTTAAACTTAGGTCTTTCGACTCTAATATAAACACTTTATTTAACACACTGGTCTTCCTTGTAGAGTAAAAGCTGCTACAAGCAAATCGTTCACTAAGGCCTCTACAAAATTAGTTGATGAGACAAGGTTTTTGCCCTTAGCAATTACAGTGCTGAAATAAATGATATAATCAAATGTTCTGACTTCATTTAAGCCAATTAGGAGTGGGTAAATATCATTATAGCATGGCATTTTCTAAAGTTTTAAGCCTTGAGCTTTGTTTTGTTTTGTGAGAATTGAGAACCTGGAATTTTAGTTCTGCATTTTAAATCATGAAATGTTAAAGTCCTTAATTCTTAAGTTATTGTCTATCTCATTGTGCACTCAATTGCTTACATTCTAACTAAAACAATTATGATAAAGGAATAGGGTGAAGGGAGGACAGACATAAACAGTGAAATTAAGGAATTGGGAATCCTAACAAGGGCTTGCTGAGGTATCTTACAGTAGCACTTTTTTTTTTGAGACGGAGTCTCGCTGTGTCACCCAGGCTGGAGTGCAGTGGCGCGATCTCAGCTCACTGCAAGCTCTGCCTCCCGGGTTCACGCCATTCTCCTGCCTCAGCCTCCCGAGTAGCTGGGACTACAGGTGCCTGCCACCACACCTGGCTAATTTTTTGTATTTTTAGTAGAGATGGGGTTTCACCGTGTTAGCCAGGATGGTCTCAATCTCCTGACCTCGTGATCCGCCTGCCTCGGCCTCCCAAAGTGCTGGGATTACAGGCATGAGCCACCATGCCCGGCCTACAAAAGCACTTTTGTAGAAAATTGAATATGATCCTTAAAAGAATGGATAAGCTGCAAGTAGTATTCACTTCTGGAAAGTGATAATGTTTGAGAGCTCAGACAGCTTATTCAATGATCCATTTTTGACATACTATCTTGTACTAGTGTCTGTTTTATTAAATTAATTTTTACTAGCAGTGTTCATTTTTACTTAGTTAAGTGTCTACCCACTGACCTGCTCCCATTGTGGAAATACCACACCGTGTTTGCCCCTTACGACTTTTCTGTATTTGGCAGCAGAGGCTGGTTGCTCAGTTTATTGTAGTACTAGGGAGTTGCCCTTTGTTGTGTTTTTCACAACAGCGATCCATTTCATTTGAACATTTTCAGATCTGGTTGAGGATGTTCTCCATATGTCGACTCTTATCTAGACAAACAGAATAGACTTTTTCTATTTTTGTGGCTAGAGTGGAAAATTTTAGTACTGAATTGCATGTATATGACCCATTGATATTCTTGATACTGGCAAATCCTAAAGGAATCACAGACTCATAATATTTTAGTGAGGTTAATCATCATAATTCATTATTTATCAGCTATTTGCAGGGCACTGTGTTAGGTACCATGGCAAAATAGAGACAAATAGATGTTTGGCCCTCCATTTAGAAAAGTTCAGTCCAGTAAGAGGTATAATGTATGGGTACAAATGACTGTAATTCAAACAGAAAGTGACAACGGAGTAACAGGGTACTGTGGGAGCAGAGGAAAGAGAGATTGCTTCTGGCTGTAGAGATTAGGAAAGCTTCCTATATGAAGTGAAATATGAATTGAGCATTTCAGAGTGAAGGACATGCCACGCAGAGGGATTAGCATAAATTGGGTGTATCTGTACAGCACCTGGTAAGTTCTGTTAATTATCTACTTCTCTTTCTGCTCTGTTGGATTTGAACCCTTTGAACTTAGAGAATTGATGTTTTCCAGCTTTTCATTCTCTACTTCACCACCTGTTCAACTTGGTACATTAATTACTTAGAGTTGTAAGTGGCAGTAGTGTATATGGAGTGAATTCAAGGAAAGAGAGTCCAGAAATGGGAAGACCAGTGAAGAGACAAATAATCTAGGTGATAATAATGAAGTTCTAAACTAGGTGAGATTGGGAAGGAGAGACTTGCATGGATGGGTCTCTCTAGTGAAAGAACCTAGGCAGTTCTTTCACTGTGAATTGTACATAAAGTACATACCGTGTGCCAGGAGATATGGAAAGGGAAAGACATGGTGCTCCCTCAGAAGCTGGGCAGGTGACTGGAGAGCTACATTCACAGGGGTAGAAATAGCTGCAATCAGGCATAGCAGCTGTCATGAAAGAGCAGTGAGAGGCACACCTAAGGGAGAGGGGCACCTACTTGGGATAGTGAGAGAAGCTTTCCAAGGATGTGTGAGTGTTTGAGCTTAGACTTGAAGGGTGAGGAGGAGTGTTTCAGGCCGAGAAGCCTCAGGCGGGTATTATCACATAGTGATGTAAGACACGAAGCATATTAGGGGGCCACAGGAACCGGAATTGTTGCCGTGATGCTGGACAGGAGCAATGAACTTTTATTTGCTGTCTATTTATGTTTATCCAGCTTTAGCACTCTGAGCTTTTGTAAGAAAGTGTTTCTGTTGCCTCTAGTAGCCTCTTGGAAGCACCTCTTCTGTGCTTCTCACTCCCAACCTGGAGTGCAGTGCTGGTGATAAATTGTCTCTTGCTTCCATTTTGTGAAATTAAACAGAAAAAGTAAAGATACCATCAGCCAGAGAGATAAAGAGAAAAGTAAATCCACTAAAATCCTTTTCTTTGATGAAGCCTAGAACCACCGAGGTTGTTGTATAAAGAGAATGCTGCATCAAAGCACAGCTTCAAGAGCACCTGACTTGAGGGAGGGGATTGTGGTAGGAACATGATTATTTACCTTTCCCATAGGGTTTTATGGAACTCTTAAACATTTCCCAAGACTGTAATACCTAATAATGAAGTCCTTTTATTCTAGTTCTAGCCTTGATTCTTTTCTCCTCTCTACTCTAAGCCTTATTATTTTTTAAAAATAACACAGTTTAATAACTAACATGACCCTAAACTTCAGATGGTGTCAAACATCATCTCTGGTCCTCCTCTATCCTTGTTTGGTCATTCAGAGACCTGTATGTGCAAATCGTTATTATAAACTTTGTATGTATAATCTACGTTAGATTGCTAGAGATAAAAAGCACTACAGATTTCTTTTTTACATAGATTTACTTTCTACAGTGGTTATTTTTTTTTCTGTCCTTTGGATTGGACCACTGAAACAGAATATAAAGTTGTTTTCTAAGGACAACCAAAAAGTTAATGGTAGTCTCTAATTCAAATTATATCCATTGTATTTCTAGGCCAGCGGTTGGCAGCTGTTTTGGCTTTAGTGCCATTACTGGTAATACTAAAAGATCATGGGCACTCTCAGGAGGAAAGTGAAAGGAACAGAAGGAGGAAAAGCGGGCTTGTGGGGTGGTAGGGGAGGCACAGAGAGGGGGCGGGAGAAAAAGTACATATGGTTAAAAGAGATCAAGTACCTCCACACCTCTTCCAGGTACCACTTGGTAGGACCAGTGCCATATTTAAGGATTAAGTTGAACTCCCAGCAGTCCTGTCTGAAAATACTCTGGTTGTATTTTTATGCCAAAAATGGCAGTTTCTTTTAATCAAACATTTCTGGATTTAATTTTTAAAATTGTATATGGACCAGTGTCTCTTTATTTTTAGAATTGAGCAGAAAAGGAGACAGAAATCAACATACTTTAAATATCAATGAAAATTATAAGCACATTTCTGAAATGTAGTTAAAGCTTTAAGATCTAAATCCATAGATTAGCCCCATTGTATAGCCCAATTCAGGCACAAGGTGGCAGAAAGTAAAGGGATGAATAGCTGGGAACATGTGTTTGAATTTTTACCGTAGTAAAACTGCATTTTCATACTAACCAAGAGTGTAACTGGACCCACAGAAGGAAAAATAGGGCTAAGAAATTAGAGCCTGTGCTTTTCTGTACAAGTAAACCAAGTACTCTCTCCCTTTCAGAAAACATTATCAAACAACAAAAAATTTATTTTTTAGAACTTACACAAGATATTGGACTGACAAAGCCAAAAACAAAAATACTTAAGATTTTAGCTTTTCTGTAATAGTGGTGAAAAGTTATTTCTCAGATTGTAAGAAATACTGTCTTGAAGTTTTTGATTGATTTTCAGAGTTGAAAGATGCTTTAGAGGTCATCTAGTCCAACTCTGTTGTGAATTCCCTGTACATCATCTCCAACAAGTGGATGTTTAGTCTTTGCCTAAATATTTAAGTTCCTTGCCTAAAGACAAGGAACTTAACAGATCATAAGATAGCTAACTTTCATTCCCTTAAATGGTTAATGTGCTCTTTTGTCCCCAATCCTCTTCTCACTCCCTGCACTGTGAGTGTGGGTGATCTCATATGCTGTGATATCTTCAATAACTTCTCTGCAATGATGACTTCCAAACCGGTATATCTTGCTCAGGTCCCCGTCCTGATCTTAAGACCCCATTGTCCATCTGTCTTCTAGATATCACCACCTTTGGTGTGTTCCATGGATAACTTGGATTCTGCTCACCCAGAGCTGACTTTATCTTCTCCCTTCACAGAGCCATTCTTGTGCTCCTTAGCTTTCCCAGTGCATGGCGTTGTTCTCTATTTGGTTCTTAAGCTGTAAACCTGGAAATCACCCTTGACTCGTCCTCCTTGTTTATGACTGACATCTAGTCATTTTTTAGGTCTTCCTTAACTATGTCTTGAACTCTGCCTTTGCTCTTCCTCCAGTGCCAGAATATTCATTCAGGTGCCCAGTGATTGAACTAGCCATCTTTCCCTGCTACCAGTCTTGCCTTCTTTCAGTCTGTCTTCCATGTGGCTGCCACAATGACTGTCCTAAACTTGAATCTCATTATGTAACTTTCATCCTTAAAATTTCTAGTGACTCCCCATGGCCTCTTCCAGGCTCCTTAGTGTGACACATGAGTTCCTTTTTAGTTTTCCAGCCTTGTCTTCCATCACTCCCCTACTCACCTCTCCAACCACACTGAACCACTAGCTTTCTTGTACCTTCGGTCTCACACACTACTTTCTGGAATGCCCTTTCCTATACTTCTTGGGTAATTCCTGTGCTTTCTTTGGTATTCTGCTTAGGCATCTCTTTCAGGGAGGCCTGCCTTGACCTCTTACCTCTGGCAGGGTTAGGTACCTCTCCTAGGCTTTCTGACAGTGTCTAGTATGTATTTCTTTTATGTTTTTTAAATATCCAAACTACAGTAAGAGGTAATAATGTTGGGCATTTACTATATGTCAAAACTTAATGAGCATTTGCTATGTGCCAGGCATAGGACAGTGCTAACTGGAAAGTGTTTCCTTATATAATTTTCAACTGGTTCTCATCTCAGAATTAGAGATAATTTTATGTCACTGCAAGAGTAATATTTGAAGATGGCTATCTAACATCTCTCTTTCAGGCTAAGTATCTTCATTGAATTTGTTCAAATATGGATTTCAGACCTCTTGCCTTCCTGGTCACTCCCCTCCATGTGTTTTATTTTGTTTTCTCTCTTAAAATATGTGGTTCCGTTTTACATCAAATAGAATTGTCATAAAGGAACATAGGGCTTCTCAGATGGATAGAAGCTGGATATGGATTGTCATATTTAAGGTATATACCTCACTTACCTAGGTCGTTAGCTATGAACATTTTTCTGAACATTTTCCAGAAGTCACTAGAATTACGGGAATTTACTTATAGTTAGCAAGTGATGGAGAGACTGACACAAAACCAAGAATGCCAGTTAGTGAATTTATTAATATAACTGTGAGTGGAACAGAAGCTTATAGTTTGGTGAGCACACTCTCATCACTATAGGAGAATCTACAGGGGAAGCCAGCCCATGTAATCAAATGGGTAATCTTAATGGGGAGTGTCACTAAGTCAGGATAACCTGATGGAGAGTCTTTATAAGGATGCAGCTGTCCAGCGCTGCTCTGGGGATATGGTCAGTGTGCTTTCACCTCAGACAGTGTTGGGGTCACATAGGCAAAGTCTTCCTTGTTAAACTCCTGCTCTGCCCCCACTACCTCAGATTAATATAACCTCCTTCTGTCAACATAGTTGACAAGGTTTCAGCTTTCTTAATTCACATTCCAATCCTGTCTCCCAGAAACTATAACCTACTCACTTTTGACCAGACTTGGGTATCCCCGGCCCTTTTCAGTCACACATTTTCTTGGAATTACTTACAGTGATGGCTAAATTCCATCACTCTATTTGATTCAGGCTGGTGTTACTCCCAGAGGATGACTTAATTTTCAAATTATGAGGACATTTATTTTGCCCTTTGTATGACTATAGGGCATCACTAAGTATTGAATAATTTCTCCAGATATGAGCCAACTAGTACAGTGTAGAGTATGGCATTCACCTTCCTTGTGCATGACTTTATTTATATGTGTGTGTCAACTCAGCCCAAGATTAAGATTGTATAAATTTTAGGGGCAGCCATTTCACACTTTAATTTATGTCAAGCTTTTTTTTTTTTTTTTAAGTGGAGTCTTGCTGTGTTGTCCAGGCTGGAGTGCAGTGGCACAGTCTTAGCTCACTGCAACTTCTGCCTCCCGGGTTCAAGTGATTCTCCTGCCTCAGCCTCCCAAGTTGCTGGGATGACAGGCGAGTGCCACCACACCCAGCTAATTTTTGTATTTTTAGATGGGGTTTTACCATGTTGGCTAGGCTGGTCTCGAATTCCTGACCTCAAGTGATCCACCCACCTCTGCCTCCCAAAGTGTTAGGATTACAGGCATAAGCCACCATGCCCGGCCTATGTCAAGCTTTTATTTGAAAAAACTCTTTAGTTCTTTCTTTAAAAATGTAATTTAAAAAATATTTTAATAAAGACAGGATTTCGTTATATTGCCTAGGCTGTTCTCGAACTCCTGAGCTTAAGCAATTCTCCTGCTTTGGCTTCCCAAGGTGCTGGGATAGTTGCCTTTTTGTGTGTGTGTTTTGAGATGGAGTCTCACTTTGTCACCCAGGCTAGAGTGCAGTGGCATGATCTCGGCTCACTGCAACTAACTGCCACCTCCTGGGTTCAAGTGATTCTCCTGTCTCAGCCTCCCAAGTAGCTGGGATTACAGGCCCCTGCCTCCATGCCCAGCTAATTTTTGTATTTTTAGTAGAGATGGGGTTTCACCATGTTGGCAAGGCTGGTCTCGAACTCCTGACCTCAGGTGATGTGCCCGCCTCGGCCTCCCAAAATGCTGGGATTATAGGCGTGAGCCCCCGTGCCTGGCCTGGTTGCTTTTTTATGTATACAACAGTTTTCACAATTTGTATTTAGCATTTGATTTTTTTAACCCAAATATAATTCTTTACATTTTCTCTATTAAATTTTATTTGTTACAGTTAATATTCTGTTAAAATTGTTTTAGATCTGACTCTGCTCTCCTTTTTTTCATTATTCTCTCCAGGCTCTGGTCATACCTACATTTTGATAAGGATGTTGGAAAAACTTTTATCCAGATCATTGGTAACACTATTGCCTAAGCCCAGTGAATATTGCAGAACTTATTTATGAGCATTCTGAGTTTTGTTATTTAATTGGTTATGTATATGTGTTACTCAGCCCATCTCTCTTCCTCTCAGAAAGAAATGGAGAGTGGAGCTTGTTAAATACCTTTCAGAGCATCACATAGATTTGTCTTATAGCTTTGCCAACAAAAGAAATAAAGTTACTTGGCAAGACTTGTTCTTCCTGAACCTACACTGATTCTCAGTGATTGCCCATCTTTGTCTATTCAGAAACTGTTTTATAATCATCTAGGATTTTCTTCCGGCTGAATGATAAACACAGAGTTAATCTTTTGCCATGTTCATTTTCTTTTGTTATGTTTGTGTTTTTTCCTCACTCTGAAAGATGGAGTACTTTGTCTCCTGTCTTAACCTCTTTGGTCTTCCTGACTTGTTAAAGAGTTATAGCATTCAGCAGAATTCCCATGCAGGCTCACAGTAGACAACTGGTCAAGTCAGATTTGCAGTGTGTCGGGGGCAGGTCTTTTATGGCCGCTTCACGTGTCATGGGCATCAGTTCTTTCATCCTAACGCGCCACTTTTTGCTGTCGTTCTCCTAGACTGAGAAGAGAGGCAGGGATTGAGTGATGGACACTGGACTGGAAGTTCTCTTTTATAAAATAGGCGTCATACCTACCTCTCCAGGTAGAAATATGTAAAAGGTCTTTGTAAACTGTGAGGGGGTATTCAAGTGTAGAATTTTTAAAAAGCAAAATAGAAGTGAAGGGTTTCTTTCCCCCCCTTTTTTTTCCTATCATGTATTAACTACACCATTTACCTTAACCAACGTACTCAGCCTTTTGTGTATACCAGGCCTTTTGTAAACTTTCTCTTCCAGACATAAATTCAAAAGTCCTTTTTGTAGCCCTTGCTGATTTTCTTAAGTTCAGCTCATTGTGGACATTTTACTTCCTGATACCATCCTGTGTTTCTTTTATAGGCATCCATGTTATGTGTCCCTCCTTTCTTTTTCTGTGTCTTTGAAAATCTGAGTTCATTGAAGAGCTCTTTGTGCAGCCAGTCTTTTCAGAATCTTCCCATTTTCTGTCATTAATATCCTTTGCAGTTTATAGCCAGAACTCTGTTTCTTATATCAAGTTTTAATCTTTTTGTTGTGACTAGAAGAAAGAGGATAGGAGCAATACTGGTTTTATGTCAGTCTGTCCATCACTTGTTTGGTTATACAAGTCCCCCACCACCACCACCACCATGTTTTTCTGACTCATTCTCCTTCTTTGTCTCTTTTTTTCATCTTTCTTTTCTGGATTCTTCTTGTGATATAACTAGGAATTATTCTAAAGCTCACAAGTTTCAGTCTGGTACTTTATCAGATCATGTATAGATATGGAACATTTCCCTTGTTATTCTTTTAAATTCATTTTCAATTTATAATTTACTTCCAACAGAACAAAATGACACTGTCTTCAGGGCAATAATCATGTTTGCCTTCCTTTGTATTTTTCTCATAACATCTAGTGAAAGTAGGTATTTAATACAAGAGAGCATTTAGTGAAAGGGAACCTAATAAGTGTGAATTCTCATGGGCATAATTCAGGAGTAATCCAAAGTCCTTACTGTCTTTGCGGGGTTTTACACGTTCTTGCCCCTGTCACCTCTCTGAACTCTTTCTTACCACTCCCCCTCACTCTCTCTGTGCCGTACTGAACTCCTTGCTGTTTCTTACTGCATACCTCTGCTTCAGGGCCTTTGCACTTACCATACATGCTGTGTGGTACTCTCCTCCCTTCAGATTTCTAAATCATTCTTTTTCATCTCATTCAAACCTCCTTCTCAATGAAACCTTCTGATGTCCTTATTTAAAATTGTAATGCCTCTCCCAGCCCCTATACTTTCTTTCCATCCCCTCGCCCCACTAGAATATAAGATCCATAAGGGCTGGTATTTTGTGTCATTTGTATTTTTATACGGTGCCAGGAACAGTATCTGGCACATAGTGGATGCTCAGTAAATATTTGTTGAATTAATTAATCAAGGCTAGTTTAACTAGACTTCTGTTGTTGAGAGCTTCCTAAAACAGATGACTCATCTTTCTTTTTTGAGTCTCAGGCAGGACTTACTTTTCTTTTCTCTGAACATTTTGTAATTTTTGTTGCCTAATTGTGTCCCATGTTTCCATTCCCAGCTATTGTAACAAACTTGAAAATTCCATGGTAAATTGCTCTCCGGTTTCCCAGTACTTCCATTTATCATCGAATTTCTTCCCAGTGGTCACATTCACATCCAGAATATTTCTTTTCCTATTTGAGAGGTGGAAGGGTTAGCAAGGCATTTATCAGAGACATTGATTTTATCTGTGGGAGAATTCTAGCGGCTATCCCAAAAGTTGAAGTCCCCATCACAGCTTATTTGTGTCAGCCTCAGTCTCTAGAATACCAGCAATTCTTAATGCTTCTACTTTCCTTGCTTTTGCCCTGTTCTAGTGCAGAGTCCCATTTCATCAAATCTCAGTGATGCTTAATAGTATCATATTAACTTATTTGTAAATTGTCAGTTTTCTTTCTTTGTTTAATACCCATATTCTGGGCATGGGTTTCCACAGACCTGAGACCACTTTGTTGCTAACACCTTTCCCATTTGTTTTTCTGCAACAAATAATTGACCCAAGCTTTCCCATTATTTTCAGTTTTCTTTTTCAGAGCATGCCCAGCCAGCTTCTTTCATTGTTACAGTAATATCTGAACTTTTTGTATCTCTTCTTCCATTTTCAGCTTAAGGTCTACTTGATCAGTTAATCAAAATTACATAGTGATTAGAAAAAGCTCAAGATCCATCACCATTTTAACTGTGTGACCTGAAACAAATTTCTTAAGTTCTTCTCTAAATTTGTTTTTGTATCTGTAAAATGGGGAGTGGAGAGCAGTAATGCCTGCTTCTTGAGTCATTAATCCTTGCTTTCAGAATTGAGTGATATGAAGATGATGATGATAAACTTTTATGTAGGGTTTACTATTTGCCAGATGTTGTTTTAAAAGCCTTACATATTATTAACTAATACAGTATATATGGCATACAGTTCTGTTTATTAGCATATGCATGGCATGTGGAAGCAGTCAGTAAATGTTAGTTTTTATTAGCAGCAGCGGCAGCAGATCTCTGGGTAAACATTCTTTTCTTAGTTTTTGCAAGGTATACTTCCTCACCAGTGAAAAGTCTGTTACAGATGATTGTATGCTGTGGTATGAATCAGACGTTTGTGTACCATTTGTACCATTTTTGACGCTATTCATTTGCTATAAGAAACCACAGAAATCTCACAATAGTCCCTTCTCTTAAAAAATTATATTTTAGGATTAGAGCCCAGACAATAATAATGCCATTATTGAGAAGCCAGCCATTACACACTGAAACTAAATACAAATTATGTCTTTAAAGTAAAATTTCAACTTTTAAAAATAGAAATTTTATTGAAAATTAGTTTTTATAATTTACATTTAGTAAATTCCATATATTTTCACTGATTCAGTACAAAATGTTCAAATCAAAATACCTATTGAGAAAGCACTATAGAAACTTTGCTAGGTATTAACGTTAAAAATCGTAAAACATTACATTTTCCATGGCAGAAAACTGATAAAATCATTGAGTAGTCAATTTCTGAAATGTTTCTTAATTTTAGAATAATATGGGTAAACAGCCAGGTGCAGTGGCTCACACCTGTAATCCCAGTGACTCAGGAGGCTGAGGTGGAAGGATCACTCGAGGCCAGGAGTTTAAGGCTGCAGTGAGCTATGATGGCACCACTGCACTCCAGCCTGGGTGATGGAGTGGGACTCTATCTCTAATTAAAAAAAAAAAAAAAAGGAATAATATGGATAGATGTATTTAAAGTACACTAAGAATAAAACAAAATATTTGTTATATGTAGACTCTGAGAATTTTTTTTTTTTTTTTGAGATAGAGTCTTACTCTGTTGCCCAGGCTGGAACGCAGTGGTGGGATCCCAGCTCACTGCAATCTCAGCCTCCCGGGTTCAAGCGATTCTCCCATCTCAGCTTCCCGAGTAGCTGGGATTACAGGCGTGCACCACCATGCCTGGCTAATTTTTGTATTTTTGGTAGAGATGGGGTTTCTCCACATTGGCCAGGCTAGTCTTGACCTCAGGTGACCCACCCACCTGGGCCTCCCAAAGTGCTGGGATTACAGGCGTAAGTCACTGTGCCCAGCCAAGATTGTTTTGATAGAACACTTTGTGTCTCTCTCACCTTGTATTTAGAAAAGTTAGAAAATAAAGGATAATGTATATAGAAAGCTTTTTGAAGACTCTTAAGGAGTTCATAAATATGGGGCACTACGACTATGCATATGAAAATATTTCTTATCAGTTGGCAGTTACCACCTCTTACAGTGGCATGAAACCTCTTGAGTTAAACCAAGGCTCAGTGAGATTTGGTGATTTAGGTAGTATCACTTTATGAACAAGCAGGTCTTTTATTTTATTACACTTCTCTTTGACATTCACTCCAGTTAAAGAACTCTTTCAAAAGACCTCATGCCTGGTCTCATGGAGATTGAAAGGTGTTTGAGTCCTTCCTTATTATCCCCTTGGAAGATGCTTTGAGGACCCCAGTGATGAATCGCAAGAACTCTGTCTCCATTATCCCTGGTATAGGGCACCTCATCACTCTGGTGTTATCCCTAAAGGGCCTTCATCATAATGTGCTTAAAGAGTCCCCTATTATGTCCTTTAGGATGGAGCTTTGACTTGCCCAAATTGCTATGTACATGTTAAAGAGAGGCTGGAACTGAAGTTGGTCATTTCTCACTGGATCAGTCAACAAGATTTGAGTACTTTCTGTGTGCTCTGCATCATTCTGAGTACTTTGGGGGACAGAATAAGGCGTGGCTCCTGCCTTCAAGGAGTGTGGAATTTAATAGAAGATGACAACATACATGACTGTAAATCTGTCTACGTGAGAGTGCCTAATTGTGAGATTCCTAATAAATGGCAAGACATGTTCTGAAAACGTGAAACATAAATGAGGCTGAAGAAATTGTGAAAAGTTTAGCAGAGGAGGAATAGTTCGTCAGGTTCTTTAAATACAAGTAAAGGGGAAAGGAAGGACCATTTTTAAGTTTAGATATTCCAAGGGTTAGTGGTGAGGTTGATTATGGTATGTCTTCTCGTTGATGAGGGAGGAGACTGGTGAATAGTGGAAAATAAAGTTAAATGGCTAGGGTGGGGCCAAATTATGGGCTTTAATAAAAGCCAGGCATAGAAATTTAGATTGGGATGGTAGAAAAAGGAAAGCTTTAAAAGTTTTTGAGCCAATGAATGACATCATACAAGTTCTATGAGCAATGATTTCAGGATGGGAGAGAATGGCATCAGGAAGACCCACTTGAATGCTGGTAAGTAATGTTACCAACAGTGCCATTAGTAACATTAATGTTACTAGGGCCTGGACTGATATGCTGATGGAAGTGAGAATGAAGAATAAGGTGGGATGAAAGAGATTTTGAAAGAGGTTTTAAAGAACCTGAAATGGGAATGGGAGAGATTAACTAAGCCTGCTTGCCATGGACAGCAATGGGGTTGCTAGAAGATTAGCTGTGGGGAAAAAGTTATGCATTTACCTTTGGGCATAATTAAATGCAATTGACTCTCCATATTCATGGGTTCTGCATCCACTGATTCAAACAACTGTGGAACAAAATTGTCAGAAAAAACAATACAACAATAAAAAATGATACAAATAAAAAACAGCATGGTATACCAACTATTTATGTAGCATTTACATCATATTAAGTATTAGAAGTAATCTAGAGATGATTTAAAGTATATAGGAGGATGTGTGTAGGTTATATGCCAATACTACACTATTTTATACCAGTAACTTGAGCATCCATGGATTTTGGTATACAAGGGGGATCCTGGAACCAATTCCCCATGCATATCAAAGGATGACTGTATGAGTTATCTGTAAAAAAATGTTTTGGTTGAAATGTTTAGAAAACAGCTAGACAAGACTGGCTGTTGGATGACAAAAACATAGGACTAGGAAATTCAGGTATGCTACTCTTTTTGAGTATTGTTTAAAGCCATAGGAAAAGAGCTCTCTGTGAGTTCCAAGGCAGATGCAAGGACTGGCATTCATGCACAGCTTCTAATAGATAAATCTGAAGAGTTCTTAGTATGCATGTTGACTGAAATTACTTTAGAAGTAATTTTTCTCCTGGTGATAAAAGGCATGTAAGGCTGTTTTAGGAAATTGAAAAATGCAAAAAGGTATGAAGAAAAAGAAAAGATAATCATTAATAGTACTTTAGTAAACAAGATTTGACTAAAGATATGGCTTTCCTTCCGCTTGTTTTCTTATGCATATAAAGGGATAGGAAATATGTATGTGTGTATGTGTGTGTATAGGATCGTGCACTATATATAGCTTGCTTCTTTTTCCATCATGATAATTTTCCCATGTCATGAATTATGGCTTGCAAGTGCTATTCTTAAAGGGCTGCATTATTTTTCATTATTTGGATTTATTGTTATTTAATTGGAGCTCTATTATTGAACATTTAGATTGCTTCCAAAATTTTTTGCTGTTATTAATATATTGTAATAAACTTCTGTGAAACACATACTCTTCACCTGCTACTTACCTATGACTTCTGTAAGCAGAGACCTCTGTATCCCCAGGACCTAGAAGGTTACCTGGACATAGTAGTTGCTTAATTAAAAAAATTATTGATTGAATGAAAGAAGACTATTAAATGTTCAGTTCTTCTTTTTTTATTCTGATTGCCTGTGTATCCAGGGGCCTCTTATTTGGCTGCATGTGTGAGTTTGGCTGTAATGAAAGTATTGGCCATGTATGACCATAAACAGGCATTCCTATTTCTGTCACAGTTATATTTGTCATTCTGTATTAATATATCTGTATCCTGATTTCTGTTGAAGCATGATTAATTTTGTTTGCTTCTAAGCAATGTAGCTACCCTATTGATGCTGATAAAAATAAATTTCTGAACCTATAAGGCTGAGGATTGGGCCTAGGTTGTGGTAAACTGGCAAGATAATGGATGCTACCCTCTCAAGAGCCCTCTGAAGAGAAAAGTCTGCTACCCTTCACCAGGTAGAAACTCCTGACAGTGCCACATTTTCCAGTTTGACTCCCTGTGATACCCTGAAAAGACAGATGTTTGACTCTTTTCAAATAATATTTTAACATATTTTAAGACACAAAGGCATTGTGTCAGACTTTTTTCTTAAGAATATATATTGTTGCCACTCAGAAGTTAGCTTCCAAAAGAAATAAGTGTGTGCAAAGGTTTACGATAGTGGTATAGAGAAGTTTTTAAAATAAATGTGCATCTTTTCCTATAGTAATAAAAGCACATTATGAAGAATTTTGTAGGTCCAGTCCACATATTCCCTGTGCCTGGGGAAAACTTTAGTAGAAAATTAGATAATTTATAATTTGATTCGGGGAAGTCTAGTGGAAAAACTTTTTAATGGAGCGATCCAATTTGAAACATGAATATCTGTGCTGGAAGCTTCTATTGAACTTTACTTAAGTAACATCTAAGACCCTCTCCCTGTCAGTCCGCCATTACCCTAACAGTGGTAGAAATTCTTTATATTACACCTAGATCTTTTTTTGTTGCACTTTTAAGCTGTGTAGGAAACACATTGCCCACATGTTCATACAACACAGAGTGATTATCCACTTAGTTCCTAAAAAGTTGTATTTAGTTATGGGGTTTGATCCCACTTGTCCAGGATTTAGGTCAGCTACTGAAGATTAGGATATCTGGGTACCTCTTACTGGAGAATCCATTCCTGTTTTCATTTCATTCCTGGGGGCAATATTCAATCTGGTGTGGCCCTCTGTGTTATAAAATGTTTCCCAGATTGTGTTTATCTGAAATACAAATCCAAGAAGAAGCATGGTGTTAACTGCTGTGTAAAAAAGATTCCGGAGTCAAGAGCTTGAGAAGTTCTGTTCCTTCCTTCATAGGTTCAGTTGTTTAACCCAGCATTTTTCAAACGTATTTGACTCCTAGAACCTGTTTTCCCTCAGACATATTTAAGAAAAAAGCGTTTTGTAGAACACATTGGACAAATGATACTTTATATCATTGCTTTGTTTTTTAAATTTTAGTTTGACTCAATTTTACAGTTTCGGGTTTTTGTTTCTGTTGCAGGTTTTAAGCTCTTCTTTTATAAATAGTTACTTTCCTAGTCTGAAATCTATACATTGTTTCAGTAATGAATTCATTATGTAAATTTGCCCATCATTCATCTAAAGGGAATAAACGTTAAATTGTTTTTTTAAATTTTGACTTGTGTCACATATGAGAATATAAAGTATATCTGTACAATAAAGGAAAATGAAACATCAAAGTATCTACCTCAGGTTAAGAAGCAGAACTTGGCCGGGCATGGTGGCTCACACCTGTAATCCCAGCACTTTGGGAGGCAGAAGTGGGAAGATAGTTGAAGCCAGGAGTTGGAGACCAGCTTGTTCAATAAAGGAAGACCTCATCTCTAACAACAACCACAACAACAAAAAATCAGCCAGGCACGGTGGCATATGCTTATAGTCCCAGCTACTGGTGCAGGCTCGAACTCCTGGTCTCAAGCCATCTTCCCACCTCAGCCTCGTGTTCTAGTGAACATTGTTATGATGCAGTGTCTCCTATTCTGCATGTGCAGGAGTATTTTTACAGTATGTACCTGGAGTGGAATTGCTTGGTCATTGGGCATGTGTGTGTTCAGCTCTATTGAGTGGCATCAAACTGTTCTCCAAAGCAGTTGTACTAATCTATACCCTCACCAGCAGTGAATAGTCTTCCCATTGTTCTTCCTCATTCGAAACTAGATATTCACAGCCTTTTAGGTTTTTGTTAGAGTATGAAGTGGTATCTCTTTGGGGTTTTAATGTTTATTTCCCTGATTAGAATTGTAGTTGAGCATCTTTTATTATGTTTATGGGCCATTTATGTTTTCTCTTCTGTGAAATTCCTATTCGGGTTTTTTGCTCATTTTAAATTTTGTTGTTTGTGTTTTTCTTATATAGGAATTCTTCATGCATTCAAGATGCATGTATATTGTTCAGAATAGTACCTGAGACATAGAAACAACTTTGTAAGAATAGCTATCATTGTATTACCATTGTATTTAATCCTTTGTTTTTATGTGTTACAATTATCTTCTGCTAGTCGGTGGCTTATTTTTCATTCTGTGATGCTAATTTTTTTTTAATTATCCTGTAAGTTTTAGGGTACGTGTGCACAATGTGCATGTTAGTTACATATGTATACATGTGCCATGTTGGTGTGCTGCACCCATTAACTCGTCATTTAACATTAGGTATATCTCCTAACGCTATCCCTCCCCCTTTCCCCCCACCCCACAACAGGCCCCAGTGTGTGATGTTCCCCGTCCTGTGTCCATGTGTTCTCATTGTTTAATTCCCACCTATGAGTGAGAACATGTGGTGTTTGGTTTTTTGTCCTTGCCATAGTTTGCTGAGAATGATGGTTTCCAGCTTCATCCATGTCCCTACAAATGACATGAACTCATCATTTTTTATGGCTGCACAGTATTCCATGGTGTATATGTGCCACATTTTCTTAATCCAGTCTATCGTTGTTGGACATTTGGCTTGGTTCCAAGTCTTTGTTATTGTGAATAGTGCCACAATAAACATACGTGTGCATGTGTCTTTAAAGCAGCATAATTTATAATCCTTTGGGTATATACCCAGTAATGGGATTGCTGGGTCAAATGGTATTTCTAGTTTTAGATCCCTGAGGAATCGCCACACTGACTTCCACAATGGTTGAACTAGTTTACAGTCCCACCAACAGTGTAAAAGTGTTCCTATTTCTCAACATCCTCTCCAGCACCTGTTGTTTCCTGACTTTTTAATGATCGCCATTCTAACTGGTGTGAGATGGTATCTCATTGTGGTTTTGATTTGCATTTCTCTGATGGCCAGTGATGATGAGCATTTTTCCATGTGTCTTTTGGCTTCATAAATGTCTTCTTTTGAGAAGTGTCTGTTCATATCCTTCGCCCACTTTTTGATGGGGTTGTTTGTTTTTTTCTTGTAAATTTGTTTGGGTTCATTGTAGATTCTGGATATTAGCCTTTTGTCAGATAAGTAGATTGCAAAAATTTTTTCCCATTCTGTAGGTTGCCTGTTCACTCTGATGGTAGTTTCTTTTGCAGTGCAGAAGCTCTTTAGTTGAATTAGATCCCATTTGTCAATTTTGGCTTTTGTTGCCATTGCTTTTGGTGTTTTAGACATGAAGTCCTTGCCCATGCCTATGTCCTGAATGGTATTGCCTAGGTTTTCTTCTAGGGTTTTTATGGTTTTTAGGTCTAACATGTAAGTCTTTAATCCATCTTGAATTAATTTTTGTATAAGGTGTAAGGAAGGGATCCAGTTTCAGCTTTCTATATATGGCTAGCCAGTTTTCCCAGCACCATTTATTAAATAGGGAATTGTTTCCCCATTTCTTGTTTTTGTCAGGTTTGTCAAAGATCAGATGGTTGTAGATACGCGACATTATTTCTGAGGGCTCTGTTCTGTTCCATTGGTCTATATCTCTGTTTTGGTACCAGTACCATGCTGTTTTGGTTACTGTAGCCTTGTAGTATAGTTTGAAGTCAGGTAGCATGAGCCCTCCAGCTTTTTTCTTTTGGCTACATGTTCATAACCATGACATATTCATGTTGCATATGTTCTGTGTCATAACCCAGACCTTTCTATCTTTTTTTATTTTTGAAATGGAGTTTTGCTTTGTCACCCAGGCTGCAGTGCAATGGCGTGATCTTGGCTCACTGCAACCTTTGCCTCCTGGGTTCAAGTGATTCTCCTGCCTCAGCTTCCCGAGTAGCTGGGATTACAGGCACCCACCACCATGCCCGGCTGATTTTTGTATTTTTAGTAGAGACGTTGTTTCGCCATGTTGGCCAGGCTGGTCTCGAAATCCTGACCTCAGGTTATCCGCCCACCTTGGCCTCCCAAAGTGTTGAGATTACAGGCATGAGCAGCTGCACCCGGCCAACTTTCAATCGTAAGTACCCTTTTTTGCTGCTGTTTCTTTTTTTGAACCCCAGGAAAAAATTAACTCATTTAATCCCGTATTCAAACTGCTACAATTTTATTTTCAGTGTTGTCGCCTGATTGTAGATGCATTTGTCTCTCCGAATGTACTGGGATTATTTCGAAGACAAAACATTTTTGGCACTGTGATTTCAAAAGTTTAATCTTAAGACTTTAGGAGCTACCTGAAATCTGCAACAATTGCCTATAAGAGATCCAAATGAATCTTTTTTTATTTTTTAGTTTGGAGACAGTGTCTCCATCACCCAGGCTGGAGGGCAGTTATGTGATCACGGCTCACTGTAACCTGTACCTCCCAGGCCCAGGCGATCCTCCCACCTCAGCCTGCCAAGTAGCTGGGTCTACCAGTGTGCCACCACACCCAGCTGATTGATTCTTATTTATTTATTTATTTATTTTGAGTCTCTCTGTGCATCCAGGCTGGAGTGCAGTGGCGTGATCTCAGCTCACTGCAACCTCCACCTCTTGGGTTTGAGCAATTATCTTGCCTCAGCCTCCCGAGTAGCAGGGATTACAGGTGTATGCCACCATGCCCAGCTAATTTTTGTATTTTTAGTAGAGATGGGGTTTCACCATGTTAGCCAGGCTGGTCTCGAGCTCCTGACCTCAAGTAATCCACCTGCCTTGGGCTCCCAAAGTGCTGGGATTACAGACGTGAGCCACCGCACCCAGCGCTTTTAAATTTTTTTTTATGGAGACAGGGCCTCGCTTTGTTGCCCAGGCTGGTCTTGAACTCCTGGGCTTAAGGGATCCTCCCACCTCCACCTCCCAAATTACTGGGATTATAGGTGTGAACCACCATGCCTGGCTTGAATCTTAAACTATGATTTTAGTTGAATCTTTATGATGTTATTTGTAATATGTAACTTGCTGACCAAACTATCTATGAATTACTTCCTTTGGCTTAGTAGAGAGATCCTAATTATCTTTTGGTAGATTTTTCCACATATTGGAGGATGACAAAAGGGACATGTTAACAGTGTAATTGTAAAGGTACAGTGATGATAGCAGTGATAATGATAATGATAATTTCTTCAAATTGACCCTTATCATGAATCAGGTACTGCCCTAAGTGCATTACATATATTAACTCACAACAATCCTTTTGATCTATGAGAAAACCAAGGCGCAGGCAGATTTAGTAACTTGTCTAAGATCACACAGCCAGCAGGAATGGAATTAGGGATTCAAAGTCAGCCAGTCTAGTTGCACAGTTTTAGACGTAGATTCATAGGTATCTGAAGAAATACTAATTCATTTTTAGTTTTAAAAGAATTCACCTAAGACTTTGTTTTTTAAATGTGATGATGAGAGAATGGGAAAATACATTTTCACTGTGGTTGGTGGGGTCCAGTACTTTTAAGGAAGGAGCAAAACTTGGAGCTGGAGTTGCCTAATGGAAGTGTATGGTGGATCAGGCTTTCATTATGAATAGTTTTGGTTCCTCATGAGTGGATGCTGGCCTCTGAAGGATTTCAGAAAATTCATAGCTTGTAATTCAATTTCCTATATATGCCATATGCAGATGTTTGGGGGGTAGTTAGTAGAGAATGGTTTTAAATATTCCACAGAGGACTCCGATTGGTTTTTGAGCTTGGATAGTTACTGTGCAGTTGAGATAGAGCCATTCTAAAAGACTACAGCTATTTGGGAGACAGCTAACCATATTTGAAATGTGTCTACTCATTAGCTTTATTTTTGTATTTTTTATTTTGAGACGGAGTTTTGCTCTGTCACCCAGGCTGGAGTGCAGTGGCACGATCTCGTCTCACTGCATCTTCCGCCTCATGAGTTCAAGAGATCCTCCTGCCTCAGCCTCCCGAGTAGCTGGGACTACAGGCGCACACCACCGTGCCTGGCTAACTTTTGTATTTTTAGTAGAGACAGGGTTTCACCATGTTGGCCAGATTGGTCTTGAACTCCTGACATCAAGTGATCCACCTGCCTTGGCCTCCCAAAGTGCTTGGATTATAGGCATGAGCCACCGTACTCATTAGCTTTAGGTTAAAAATATTTTCCTCCTGTGAATCTTTATTTTGGATTTTAAACGCTCTCATTGGTTCAAAAAGCAACTTTCATTAAGTTGCTGTTACTGCTTCGGCTCTTGGCTATTTTTAGATAGAGTTTTCACTCAGCTGTGGTTTGTTTACTTAGCTGTAAGTAAATATAAATAATACAACGAATTAAGGTCAATTCATTTACTCTAAAAATTGTAGGGTTAAATGGCTAAGCAAAAAGAATGAGACATTATAGCTCCTTATCCATTCCGTTTTGAGTAGAATTAGCACAGCGTTGGAATGACCATGTATAGGAAAGATAGTACTGAGGTGATCTGCTGTATGGTATTATGCTGATGAATTAGCTAGGGTGTGTATATTAGTGCAAAAGTTTAAGAACTTTGCCATGCGATTTAAATATTATGCTTTGTTTTCCTTTTGATTTCCCCTCAAGGAAGGACTGGGAAAGTAGCTCTTTTCCCTCCTTTATATGGTCATAATAAAGGATTGCAAATTAATTAGCTGCATTCAAGGCATCACACAGATTGAATTCCATATTTGTCTTGGAGGGAAGTCCAGACTTCTGCCTGGGGTGACTGAATCTGCTTTGTGAGACTGGGTGCAACTTCCGTGTATTCAAGGGTGGGATCATCTTGTCAACAGCCAAATATCTTACAAGATGTAAGTCACTTAGAAGAAATTATCCCCCCAAATGTGGTTTGTTTTTAATGTTTCTTTCAAAACCTCTTTCCCCCAACACACACAGTGCAGCAGAGAAAAGTTGCACCTGCCTGCTACTTGACAGTAGATTCTGTGATGATTGATTGTAGGCATTGTTTTCTGTGTGGGTTGGGAACAGAAAAATGCTCTTTAACCTTTTGCCAGGTCTCTGATAAGTACTGAAAACTTTGGCAGTTAAATGTGGACTGTAAAACACATGAAGAAATACTGGAAAAACAAAAATGGACTCAGATTAAAAAGCTGAAATGCATTATTTTCTAAACTAGTTCCTTTGGGGCCTTGATTGTGTCAGAAATACTTACTGATTTTTTTCTTTTTTTTTTTTAAGATCCTCATGACCTTTATGCTATGTTGACAAAGCCAGTTTGTGTTTGATATTTTTTTCTTCCTTATTTTGTATGTTTATCTTTTTTCTTTTAAACAAGGGCGGAGATTTTCTACTTTATTGATCCCTGTAAGTGGCTATGATTTATTTTATGGAGAAGAATGGGAGTATTGGAGGCAGAATGGGAGGGGTCCTGGACTGGGAGCCGAATGGTGCCTCCGTTTCTATATGTGTGACCCTAGACAAGGCTTGCCAAACACCTGCCCACCTACGCATGGCTTGGGAGAGCAGTACTGAATAGTGGAAGAGTCCTAGGCTAATGAGTGTTGACAGGCTTGTTTTGGTTTTATAACATTTATAACATACACATCTCTGAGCCCATTTTTTCTGTTGCAAAATGGCAGTAACATTATTTACCACTCGTTAGGGCTAATGTGAGGATCAAAACCAAATGAGATAATGTATATAAAGTATTAAGCATATTACCTACCACATAATTAATGTATAGTTAATTATGAATTATTTATTTTTATTATTGTCAATAACAGAGTGTTAGCATTTAATAAAGTTCTGGGTATGGAATAGAATGATCAGATTTCTAGGTTTTGACGTTTGGTACTATAGCCTCACTGCTGAGAAAATCTGGGAAGTATAAGGAGGTAATGGTTAAAAGATAGGCAGAATTTTCTAATTTCAGAATAATAGTCATTAACAGCAGGACATTGTCTAGATAATCTACCTTTCTGTGCCTTACTTTTTATCTTTATTCAAATGAAGATAATATGTTTTGAGGAAACAATATTGCTGTTGTTTTGTAGAAATTGAAACATAAGTACGTGTGGTTTGTGGCACTGAGGACTGACTGATTGCTTCTCTCTGATACTTCTTTTAGAAATGCCCTTTTTGGGCCGGGTGCGGTGGTTCACGCCTGTAATCCCAGCACCTTGGGAGGCTGAGGTGGGCGGATCACAAGGTCAAGAGATTGAGACCATCCTGGCCAACATGGTGAAACCCCATCTCTACTAAAAATACAAAAATTAGCTGGGCGTAGTGGTGCACACCGGTAATCCCAGTTACTCGGGAAGCTGAGGCAGGAGAATCAGTTTAACCCAGGAGGCCAAGAGCGCGCCACTGCACTCCAGCCTGGCAACAGAGCAAGACTCTGTCAAAAAAAAAAAAAAATTGCCCTTTTTGGAGCTCAGATAAAAGACACTATGTAATTTGTAAGAAAAAAGGGTGTCCTGTTGGAGTCTACGTGTCAGGAGTAGTCTAAATCTTAAGTAACCAGAACTTAACTATCCTCTCCATTATTTTGAGAAATGATGGTGAGGATCATTGCTGATATGGTTTTCAAATCTGGGGGGAAAGATTACAGAATGGTGTAAAAATCACCTGAAAAAGAATTCTTTTTGTTTGTGCATTTTATCACGTCACTACTAATCTGGCCAGCAGGGAGTTACCATCTGTACTGTGTGGCAGTGACCAGAGAAAACAGGTCCAGTCCATTTCATGTGTTTAATAATATATCATGTTCACATATAACCCACATTTATTCAGTACCTATAGGTGCTATGCTTGAAGCACATAAGCCGTTCATGATGAATACATACTATTGTTCAATGCTGCAGTTTTTATGTTATCTTGAAAGACAGAGGGAGAAATAACTTGCATTTCCAAACTCGTCTCTTTTATACTTTGAAGAAGGAACTTGTTACCTTTATTGTACATTAATGATTACATATATAACTCACTATGTTTTCTTTTCTCTACTTCCAAACCCAAGAAGGCATTCTAACAGTATCTCAGTAATCTCCGCTAACCCTGCCCCAGTTCAGTCATATCCTGCTAGACCATTTTAGTTATCTAATAATTACAGTAAACCTCCCTTCCATTCCTCCCCTCTTCCTTCATTCCTCAAACATTGCCAGCAACCACCAAATCCACCTTCCTGCCCCAACAATCTAAATTGTAAATTGGACCACATCATACTCAGACTTAAAATCTTTTAAATGGCTTCCTTACCACTTTTCAAGGTACCATCCAAATTCCATGGCATCACATTCATGGTCCTTCTCAATCTGGTTCCTACTTTCCTGTCCTCCCTCATCTCCTGCCACTTTTTCTCTCGCCCCTTCATACAAAATTATTTACAATTCCTTGCTGTCTCACACTACTAAGGCCTTTTGGTATTTTCAGCTCCATCACCCCATTATCATACTTACTTTGTGTTATTGTTCGTTTGTTTATATGTCTGTCTTCCATGATTAGACTGCATCTTTTTTTTTTTTTTTTTTGAGACGGAGTTTCATTCTTGTTGCCCAGGCTGGAGTGCAATGGTGTGGTCTCAGCTCACTGCAACCTCTGCTTCCCCAGTTCAAGTGATTCTCTTGCCTCCCAAGTAGCTGGGATTACAGGCACCTGCCACCACGCCTGGCTAATTTTTTAGTATTTTAAGTAGAGATGGGTTTCACCATGTTGGCCAGGCTGGCCCTGAACCCCTGACCTCAGGTGATCCGCTCACCTCGGCCTCCCAAACTGTTGGGATTACAGGCATGAGCCACCACGCCCGGACTGATTAGAGTGCATCTTGAAGGCAGAGATTCTGTGTCACTTAACTTTGAATTCTACCCACATGTGACACTGCCTGGCACATAGTATGCATTCCCTAAATGTTTCTCAAATAAATAAATAAATGAGGGATGAAAGATACTCCCATATGGTCACAGTGTACCATTATAACATTTGCAATTCTTACTATATTATACAACATCTGTAAGCCAGTTTTATAAATCCAATAATCATGATATGGCTAAAGGGAACATAGATATCTTATCCATAAACTCAAAATCAAAGAGACCGAGTAACTTAGACAAGAGCACCAAGCTGACTAGCAGTGCCTCAGGACTAACCTGGCCTGGCTCCCTGATCCCCTTGCCATGGATAGGCCTAACAAATGGAAATGTGTACAAGACTTAATAGAATGATATTTAAGTCATTTATTTTAGCTTTGAGATTTTTTTTAAAAAAACTTCATTATGGAAAAATTTAAGTATACACAAAAGTAAATGAAAGAGTAAACTGTACCTCCCTGTGTGCACATCACCAACTTAAACAGTTCTCAAACCATGACCAATCTTGATTCATCTATACCCATACCTACTCCCCTTCGCATTATTTTGCAGTAAATCCTTGATGTTGTATGATTTAATCTGGAAATATTTTAGTATGTATAGGATAGGTTTTTAAACTTCTAAATATGAGTTTCTCTGGTATTTTGGGAAGTCATGATAATTGAAACAAAATAACGAAGCCCATTGAAGACACAACTGCAGAAATCTGGCAGCCTGTCCCTGTGCTTTCTCCTTCTCTATGAAGCTGTTCCCAGGACCACGACTTCCACCGAGCCCATCTCCTAGAAATCCCTTTGTTCACATGCCCTGGAGAGAGTTGTGCTTTGTTATTTAAATTGTGCAAGGTGGAAGTGCAAGGAAGAAAAGCAATGGTGATTATATGAATGAGAGTAGATACTAGTTAGTAAAAAGCAAGATACTGTATTTATGTATAAGGTTAAATAGTTTTAAAAAATTATCCATAAGAAACCTTTAAAATTCCTTGGAATCTTTGTCATTTCTATTTTATCAAAATTACAGTATAAACTAGTAACTGAAGTTTATATTATGAATTATTGCAAACATACACAAAGTTATGGAGAAAAATACAAGGAACATTCATGTGTCTACTGCATATCTTTACCAAGTCTCTCCCTGTTACCTCAGATTTTCTTTAAGTGACAGAACATTGCAGGTAGAGTGAAGATGCCTTGGTAATCCTTCCCTTTCCTCTCTCCCAGAAATGACCATTATCCTGGATTTCGATTTATTGTTTTAAAGCATGTATAACCTTACATTGAATAGTGTCTTGCCTTTTATAAAGCATTTTACCTCTTTCGTTTGATCTTCACAACTCTTGAAGTATTTACTTCACTTCTAAATATGTATAACCCACCAAATTATCCCAATTTCACTTAATACAAAGCTATAAAGTATGAAGTGAATTAGTGTTTCATGATTTACAGTGTATCATCTCATTAGAAATAGAGTCCTGAGGCATGTGTGTGAAAACTTCACACCCCGCTTTGTTCCTCGATTTAATTTAAAGTACGAGTAATTACTCGTACTTTTAAAAGTATAAAGTATAAAGCACTTTGGGAAGCTGAGGTGGTAGCATCTCTTGAGCCTAGGGCTTTGAGACCAGCCTGGGTAATAGAGCAAGACCTCCATCTCAAAAAACACACACACACACAGCAGTAGGAGAACTGGAAGGAACCACACACACACACACACACACACACACACAGCAGTAGGAGGACTCGAAGGAACCTCAAAGGGTTAAATAGTCTTTAACTCCCTGATTTTAGTGAAACCGCCTTAAAACCAACTCAAAGGTAAGTTTTCTGTTCATTTCAAAGGACATAATTGAGGAAGGAAGAGCTGTCTACCCTGAGTAATGTTTTCTGGAATGACAAATGAGTAAAGAAATCATGGAGATATCTTATCTCATAATTCTTTAAAAATTAAATAACCATGGAGTTTGCATATAATTTTAAAAATTTAAAGCAAATTCCCACTCCAGTTCCTCCTGACCAATTTTTCCAGCTATTTGAGCAGTATTTTTTGCTCCTTGGAAGGGGATATAGTGCTTATCCTGTTTATTCAAGTAAAATTTAAAAAAAAGATAAAACTTTCTCCCCTTAAAAAAAAAAGTCTAGAGCTGGTAAAAATTTCTGACTCAGTAATTTTGGAAAGAATTGCCTCTTTCCACAAATAGATGAGCTTACATACTAGGTCTTCCAAGTGGACTAGTAAATTTCCGTGATGTCAGGAAACTGGGTGGAGTTTTTATGGATGCAAGTCCAGTGGAGGAGGGACTTTTCAGGTCATGTATAAGGAGAGTAGGATCAGATTCTGGTTTTGAATAACCTATAAGCCACAAAGCATGGGGATTTCCCATTGGGTTAATCTAGTGCTGGCCACAGTTTAGGCATATGATCTAGAGTAGCTGCTGCAATTAAGAGATGCTTGCTTATGGGATCTTTGCCCTTTTATTGGAAGGCTGTAAGTGTAGCCCAGCCTTGATTTATAAACCAACTTGACATAATCACTATTTCTTTTCACACAGACTTCTGAATAGCTGTCACTAAATTTTGATTACCACCAGGCATTTAGTTAAGCTAGAGCTGAACTATTTGATCTGTTAGTTTTTATTGGGCACTGCAGCCCACACTGATCTTCCCCTGTTCTAAAGCCCTGCTTGTATCAGAAAGGTCCACCCAGGCTAATTGTTTATATGCTAATTGTTTATATGGGTTAGTCTTAACTCTTTTTTCGACAATTTTATAGGATCTTAGCATGCTCATATCATGTCTCCTACTATTTGGGTCTCTTCCTACTGTCATATTGCTTGGTACATTGATAGGTGCTAGTACCTAAAGCCTTACCTAAAGCCGATGAAACTGTTAGCTTAGTTGGCTTCTTCCAGGTTTGTCTTTATTTGGTCACCCTGAAAGCCTAAGTGTCTTGCAAATACTATCTACTAGGTTTGTTGAATATCTCATTTTGTTTTCTATAATCAATAACAATGTAAGCTTGGATGCAATTTTTTAAAAGTACTTTAAAAACCTTAACTCTCAGTTTGGATACTTGTCCCCTAGCTGACAGAAATACCTTGGCAAAGTAGCTAAAGTCAGCCCTGAAGCTGAAATCAGCTGAGGCTGGATAGTTTAAATCATGCTTTTCCTCTTCTCAAAAGATGATAGGGACCAAATCAAAATCTCAACAGTAATTTAAATTGAACTTTCCAAGTAGATTTCTAGAATTCATATGAAAAAGTATAATAATTTGGAGGATAAAAAAGGAAAAAGAGTAGGGGCCTGCCCAAATAGATGTCAAAATACAGACAGTCCCTGACTTATGAATTTTCAACTTTAGGTTGGGTTTATTGGGATATAAGACCATCGAGGAGGTCATTATGATTTCTACTGAATGTGCCTCATTTTCGGACCATCATAAAGTGGAAAAATTGTAAGTTGGGGAATGTCTGCTCTGCTGCCACTATTAAATGCACTTTCGACTTAGTGATGTTTTCAAATTAGGATTGGTTTATTGGGATGTAGCCCCATTGAAAGTCAAGGAGCATCTTTTTATTATAGAGCTGTGAAAATAAAATAGTTGGTTTAGCTGTGATAATAAATGTTTAAATAGTTTAAAGGAACAGAGTCTCAAAATGGACTGTTTCTGGTGCAAAAGCTCTATGCTTATATTCATGCTTCTAAGTCTTAGTACACATTTTTTCCCTTAGTTTTAAAAAAATGTTTGCAGGCTGGGCTTGGTGGCTCACGCCTGTAATCCCACCACTTTGGGAGGCCGAGGCGGGTGGATCACCTGAGGTCAGGCGTTCAAGACCACCCTGGCCAACATGGTGAAACCCTGTCTGTACGAAAAAATACAAAAATTAGCCGGGCGTGGTGGTGGGCACCTGTAATCCCAACTACTCAGGAGGCTGAGGCAGGGAGAATTACTTGAACCCAGGAGGCAGAAGTTTCAGCGAGCTAAAAAAAAAAAAATTTTTTTTTTTTTTTTTGCTACATTCTTAAGTGTGACTCTCTTTAGCTTTGTGAAACCTTGAGGTGGTTGTTTTTCCACACGGTTTATAATGAAAGAGATGAGAAAAATACAATTTTTTATAAAGAGCTTGATGCTTTCTAGAACAACATACTCTAAAAAGGGAAGCTTACACATTTAAAAAATAAAAGTCTGATGAAAGACCATATAGCTGAGGGTTCTGAGCTTAGGGAGACAGGTTCCAATTACTGGCTGTAGGTCTTTGGGATGATGACTTAACTAAGCCTACTTCCTTATTTGTAAATGTGGGAAGCGCCTACTTTATAGAACTGTAAAGATCAAAGAACAGCATGCGTGCCAAACCTTTAGTACTGTAGCTAACACAGAAGTGTTTGATAAAAGTTACCCATGGTTATTATTTTTACTAAAAAGACCTTTAAAAGTACTATGAAGGGTTTCTGTTTCTAAATTCTAAGATATATAGTAGTCATGAACATTTCAGAAAGGCAATGTTATTTTCAAATCAGTTTCACAGTTTTCTTGAGGCGGATAAGCAGTTCTTCCCTTAGCAAAATAAGAACTTTTGATTATGCAATGAAAGAGAATCAAAGTCAGTACTGATTCCAGCTACCTTTTCTTTATTTTCTGTGAGAAATTGAGCAAGTTACTTGCCACAGTGATGTTTTTCATTTTTATAGAGAATAAAAAATAAATGAATTAGGTTTGAATTTCAGTGGGAAATAATTAGGTTAGATGTAAGAACGCTCTGATTGTAAGGCTGCCAAGCAGATGAGAGGGACTCCTTTGTCACCATTAGGAGACTGTGCCAGAGGAGCTTTTTCTTTTGGGCCTCTTGAGGCTACTTCAGGCGTCCTGGGAACCCATCTAGATGCACCTTAAACCTGGACTTCAACCCTGACTCCTGTGATGGCATCTTCGCCAGGATGACATGGTAAGGTGGTGATAAGGACGGAGATAAGACTGGCTGCCATTCAACGTTGGTTAGTCTTCCTGTTCATGTAGAAAGCATTCTGATACTTTTTTCCTATTTAGATAAGTAAATGAAGACAGCATAAGATAGACAACACATATTTTAAATAGTCTGAAATAATTGCATAGATTTCCAACAGCTTATAAAACTCTTTAAAAAGCGTACAGAGCTGTTTGGGCAAGAAGGGCAGTTTGAATCAGGCACAGCAACACAGCCTTGTCTTTGTTAGAAGGTTAGACGAGTTGATCCTTTTAAGTTTCTTTAAAACAAGGAATTATAAAACCATTTAAGATTTACTAAGAATAAATAAGGTGATCATGTAAGAGAAGACCAGTAATTATCTTGAGTTGCCTTTAGGAAGCTACAGATTTATTTTTGGCTTTAGCTTTGTTTTTTTTTTTTTTTTTTTTTTTTTTTTTTTTTTTTGAGACGGAGTCTCGCTCTGTCGCCCAGGCTGGAGTGCAGTGGCGGGATCTCGGCTCACTGCAAGCTCCGCCTCCCGGGTTCACGCCATTCTCCTGCCTCAGCCTCCCAAGTAGCTGGGACTACAGGCGCGCGCCACTACGCCCGGCTAATTTTTTGTATTTTTAGTAGAGACGGGGTTTCACCGTTTTAGCCGGGATGGTCTCGATCTCCTGACCTCGTGATCCGCCCGCCTCGGCCTCCCAAAGTGCTGGGATTACAGGCGTGAGCCACCGCGCCCGGCCCGGCTTTAGCTTTGTTTAACTGACTCTGGTTGTAAAAAGTAGGCATGGTCATTAGAACAACAGCTCTAGAGTGAACAGGGTTCACATCCCTGCTCTGACGTTTTCCAGTTGAGAGGCCTCTGGTAAATAACCTCTCTGTGCCCTGGTTTCCAGTTTCTAAAATGGAGAAATAGTACCTACCTCATAGAGTTGTTGTGAAGATTACATAAGATAATGCACACAGTACTGCCTGGCACAGAGAAGGTGTTTTATAAATGGTATCCATGACAACAACAGTGGTGATAAGGATGGAGATAAGGATAATGCTTAGTTGATTTCCAGATAATCATGATCTAAGCTGGGAAATTTTCTGTCAAAGAGTAAATTGAGGCGAGGCACGGTGCCTCAGGCCTGTAATCCCAGCACTTTGGGAGGCCGAGACGGGTGGATCATCTGAGGTCAGGAGTTGGAGACCACCCTGGCCAACATGGTGGAACCCCCTGTCTACTAAAAATACAAAAAATCAGCCGGGCGTGATGGCGGGCACCTGTAATCCCAGCTACTTGGGAGGCTGATACCGGAGAATTGCTTTAACCCGGGAGGCTGAGGCTGCAGTGAGCCAAGATCACGCCATTGCACTCCAGCCTGGGTGACAGAGGGAGACTGTCTCAAAAACAAAACACCAGAGTAAACTGACATTAATTTTTAAAAAGAAATGATATATGCTGGTCCAAATAAATAAACAATGAAGTATTAATGTCACATCTGAATAACAGAAAATCTTAGTTTGGAAAACTGTTTCTACTTACATTCTCAACTTTCGAGTCAGGTGACAGTAGTTTTGATTTGATCCTATTGATTTATAGGAAAGTGTCTACTTCTCATGTAATAAATATAGTTCCTGCATGAGCTAAAGCACACTCTTTTTCTTCTGTTGTATAAGTAGAAATTATGTAAATATTGGCATTATGGTATGATATCAGCTATTTAAAATGGCCTGTGATAGTTACATTGTTCAATTATAGTTGGAATCAAAGAATGAATTTTTCAATAGAAAAGTAGGCAACAGTCTTAAATCATGCAGCTTACAAAAGAAATAGTTACATAAAATATATAAAAATATGCTTAAGTAGTTGCAATCAAAGGAATGTATAAGCAAAACTAAAGTTTTTTTTTTAACCTTATCAAACTGACAAAAATTAAAAAGATGGACATTGCCTAGTGTTGGTGCTGTCATATAACTATTGATGGTCAATTGGTACTGTCTCTCTGGAAAGCAGTCTGGCCGTGTATATCAGAATTTTATATGCAAATGTTCTTTGACTCAACAATTGCACATCTGGAAGTATATAATAAGGAAATAAGAGAAAGAGTGCATAGTCTGAGATCCTTGATGTTTATTACAGCATAGCTAAAAATACCCCCTAAAAATGGAAGCCATTTAAACATCTGTTAGTGGGCATTAGTTTAAAACTATGGCGCTTAACAGAAGGTACAGTATGCTGATCGCTTAGTTTAAGAGAAACCAGGGTTCAAAAGCTGGCTTCACCATGTCTAGCTGTATGATCTTGGGTAAATAACTTAATCCAGTTAAGTCTCACTTTTCTCTTCTATAAATCAGAAGAGTGACACATGGTTTCTAAGGATGTCATGAGGATTAAGTGAAATGATACACATAAAGCACAGTGTCTAGCACAAAATAACTCAGTATATGTTAGCAACTATTATTACCATGTGCTTCTTAAAAAAGATGAAGTAGGTCCATTTGTATTAATATTGAAAAGTGTCTACAAGATCGTAGACACCTTTCAAAAAAGCAGTTTACACAATAGCTTATTTGTATTAAAACTGTATTAAAACTTATTTGTATTAATAGCCCACTTGTATTGAGACTATGTGTGTGTGTTTATGCATTAAAGTTTTGGAAGGACATAGCAACAGTTAACATTTAATGAGTACTTGACTGAGTCTTAGGCACTATTCTAAGGACTTTAACACATATCAATCAGTCACTTGATTAAAATTAGTTATATGTTTTAAGTGCTTGGAACAATGCCTATGCTTTATAAAACACTCGATAAATATTAGTTATTAATTTTCATATGCTGTCATTATCTCTGTTTTATAGATAAGAACACTGACACCCTGAGAGTTCTCACAGTTCATAAGTGGCAGAGCCAGAATTTAAATCCAGGGGGTGTAACTCCAGTCTCTCACTCAACAGTTAAAACTGGATATTATGGGAGGTAGGATTGTGAGGTCACTTTCACTTTGCAATTTGTATACTTATGGATATTTTCACATTTTTACATGAAACATTTTATTTTTATATATGGGGCAGAAAATATCCAGTTTGGAAAGAAAATAGTGCATTTTTATATTTTAGAAATCTTTTTTCCCCTCTGTTATTCACTACCTATGGCATATTCCAGAGATCTGAATATATGTACACTTAGGTTGCCCTCATGCTAAGGGTCCTGAACAAGGAGTTCCCATGACCTCATACACTGTATAAGATTTTGAGACCCTAACTTTGGGGCGCACAGCTAAATATACGTTTAGAAGTAGAGTCCCAGACTAAATCTACATTACTGAATGGTAATCAACTTCTGTAATTGAAATCTTAATAGCTTTCAAGAAACCTTTAGTCATAATATTTTAGTTTCCAGCAAGTTTGGGATAAAATTGTCATTCTTTGGTCATCCGAAGAAAGCAGGCAGAAGCCAGTTGTTTGATCCACAGATCGGTAATTGTGAGATAGGAAGCAATGACTTAGTGTTAGATATGGACATGAGTGCTAGGGCTATTAGATGCTACATAATCCAGGACTCAGCGCTGGCTATCAGTGTTCTGATATCCAACTTTGCTGCAGGGGTAGTACAGTGTCCTGGAGTGGTCACTGCACTGTGGACTCTCAGCTAGAATGGGAGCTTCACCTGAAGGTTAGGTGACATGGACTAATCCAAGGTTTTCCACCAAATAGCTAAATGTCTTTGGGCCTCACTTCCATAAAATGAGGGAGATGGACTAGATAATATAGTCTCTCTCACTTAATGACAGATAAGATGGTCTGTATATCACTTAATGGTGACCACCTTCTGTAATTGAAATTGAATTCAAGTTTTGTGATTTTATCAGCCTTGCCTCTTGATGAACTAAATTTGCAATCTTAGACCTGTAGTAGAGTCTAGAAAATTGCTAAATAGAATTGAACTTATAAACTGATTTATGGGAGTGTTTGCCAGTGTGCTTACTTGAATTACAGGATATCCTTGATGACAACCAACTATACAATTTACTTTTTATTCCATTTTAGGTATTTTTCCCCTCTCCTAGATTTGTTTTCCTAATAATCCGGAATTGTGTTCTAAAGATCACAAGTCAATAAAATGGTGTGGTCCTGTTCATTGCTTAGGTAGTAAGCTGTTCAGGTATTAATGATAAAGGTCATTACCACATAAAAATTTCCTTCCTGCCTCAAAGTTTTTTGTATTCTGGTATCTTAATGGGATGGATGCCTTCTGTTTTCTCATGGTTGCGGAAGTCAAGTGGTCTGTGTGTTTAACACAATATCTGAGTCTGATGAGTCACATGGTATGTCTGCTTTTAGTTGGGAACAGTTTTTTTTGGTCAGTTGTGATGGTCAAAAAAGTCTCTTGGGAGAGTTTAAATGACTCAAAATAACCAAACATAGCTCATAGCTACTTAGGTCTTAAAATTGTGAGCTTCGTGATACCATATTTTAATTTTAGTCTTGTCTAATTTTTGTACCCCCAAAGGACTGCTGCTTCTGGCTCTTAAGTTGTTAAAACATTAGTCTGATTTCTTTCAGGGGGTGGTTTTTATTTGAAAAGGAACAGCAAACAAAATAACACAGCAATTTAAAAATTAAAATTAAGAAATAAAAAAGGAATTGGTACAACTGAGAAATGCTTACAACTCTCTCCTGAAGCTGTTCAGTGATGCAGAAGCTTTGAATGCTTTGAATGAATGGGAAAATTAAAATTTGAGTTTATATTTGAAATTTTTATTTTATATACTCACTTAAACTCAGTCTATTTTTCAAGTTTTGTTGTGTGTGCAAGTGTCTGCTTGGTCTGTCTGCCTCACTCTCTATCTCTCATTCCTATTCAAAGTTTACTTTTAAGAAAATGAAAAGCAAGTGTTCAAAGCTGCCCAAGCTTTGTATAGGTTTATGTGTTCAGGCTGCTTCCCAAGCTTGCTCCTCCCCTTCCCTTTGCCAGGGTGTCCCTGCCTCTCACCACTCATCCTTTTCCTGCCTTGTCCATTCATCAGTTGTTCTCTGGTCACACCAAACCTTCACTTTTTAGCTCCAAATATGTATTTTGGACATACCGATGTTTTGAATCAGGCATTATCTCCCTTAAAACAGGCAAGGAAAGAGTAAAGGGGAGTGGGCATCTTCCTTAAAGCTAGAACATTTATTTTGTCTCTCTCTTCTTTGTATGATTTTGAAGGAGTATTTCCTTTATCTTAAATAAGACTTGAAGATAATTTAGCTAAGATTATTGTGCTGTCCTGCTTTTTGGTTTTGATATGGTCCTTTCTAGTCACCAGTGGAAAAGCTATTTGAGAAGAGAGTGATAGTTTGAGCCCTCGTAAATATGCCCAGGTAGGTATAAGCCACCAAAAAACTGTTGCCCTAAAAGCTCAAGATATGACTGGAAAACTTCTTCAAAATTTCCTTTATTATTCTCTGATTTGTCTTTAGTTTTGTTCCATGACATCCAACTTTTTTTTGCTGTTCTTTGCTGTTCTCCACTAAACCAGAACTAAGAATTTGGTTTATAGGAAAAAAAATTCGAGTACTGTGGTACCTGAAAAACCACCTCTAAGTGCTGAAAAGTGCAACTTGATTCCCCTTTACCCCTGCCCCCAAACATCCAGCACTCTCCCAGGATCACTCTTAAATGTTTTCTTTCTGCTTATAAAATGGTTGTTTTCCTATTATTGAAAATTTGGAAAATTCAAAAAGTGATAAAAGACAAAATTTAAATCATCTGTAATTTCACACTGTTTGTTCATCACAATTTAACTTCCTCTCCCATTTTTGTATAGTTGAGTTCATATTGTACTTGAAAATAGAACTTTGTATCCTGCTTATTTACTTAACATTATTTTTCATGTTAAAATTTGCAGGGAGAATTTTCTTCAGTGCTGTGGTATTTTATACTATCATCATTCCATCAATCATTTCATTTAATTTTAAACATTTGGTTTAAGTCGTTTGCTATTTTAAATAATGCTTTGATTAAAAAAAAATCTTTGTGGCAATTTTGGTTATTTGCATAGGATAGACTCCTAAAGTTGGAATTATGTCAAAAAATAAAAAATATCTCTATGGTTCTTGGTATAAATTACCGTATTCCCTGTTAGAAAGGGTCACATCTGTGCCAGCTAACACAAATGCATAGGGTGGACAGAAAGGCACCTCATAACAGACTGGACCTCACTAAGGGGGTGTTTTCCCCTTATATTGTGACTACTTTCATATAGGGAACATACTGCATAATTTTAAATTTTCTGTGTCTTTGATTCACTAGTAAAATTGAACATTTTTCATGTGTTTTAAACTATTCCTGTTTATTATCAAACAGTGTTATGTATCCATTTATTAGGGTCTTTATTGTCTCCTTTCGACTTTAACATTAAAAAAGCTATGTATGAGCTTACTTGATAAATAGACATGTATTTTAAATATATGCTTTTAGATACACTTTTTTTTTTTTTTTTGAGATGGAGTTTCACTCTGTCGCCCAGGCTGGAGTGCAATGGTGCGTGTGACATCTTGGCTCACTGCAACCTCCGCCTCCCAGGCTCAAGTGATTCTCCTGCCTCAGCCTCCTGAGTAGCTAGGACTACAGGCGCATGCCTCATGCCTGGCTAATTTTTTTTGTATTTTTAGTAGAGACAGGGTTTCACCATGTGTTGCCCAGGCTGGTCTCAAACTCCTGACCTCAAGAGATCCACCCGTCTCAGCCTCTCAAAGTGCTGGGATTACAGGCATGAGCCACCACATCTGGGCGCTTTTAGATATAATGGACATTGTTATTTTACAGTGTTTTTCTCCAAATTATTCTTTTAATCTTGTTTGATATACAGTATATACATATGTATATTCCATATTTTTGTAGAATGAAATGTAGCACAAGTTTTCATTGTACTGATTTCATTTTAAGAAAGCTCATTCCTTCCAAAGATCCAGTAGTTATCCATCTATATTTTCCTCTAATTTTTTTGAAGTTTAATTTTTTTTAACTTTTATTTCTTCCCCTCCTTCCTTCATTCTTTCCTTCCTTTAGTTTTCATGTGTGTCCTTTTGAACCATTTGCAATTTATTTTGCATTTTGGAGTGAAATGAATACTTGACTTGATTTTTTCCCCTAAATGGATACCCAGTTGTTCCAGTACTATTAATTGAATGTCTTCTCCTCTTCTCCTCTTCCCATAATCTATGATTATGTTGCCTCATTCTAAGCGAAGACTTTAAAATCAAGGTTTGGTTTGGTTTTGTTTGAGACAGAGTCTCGCTCTGTCATCCAGGCAGGAGCGCAGTGGTGCGATCTTGGCTCACTGCAACCTCTGCCTCCCGGGTTCAAGTGATTCTTGTGCCTCAGTCTCCCGAGTAGCTGGGACTACAGGTGTGCACCACCATGCCCAGCTAATTCTGTATTTTTAGTAGAGATGAGTTTTCGTCATGTTGGCCAGGCTGGTATCGAACTCCTGACCTCAAGTCATCCACCTGCCTTAGCCTTCCAAAGGGGTTACAGAGACATGAGCCACTGCGCCCAGCCAAGTTTATTCTTACATATTTTATGAATGTTGTACTCCATCTCCTCCTCCTTGCTACTTTTGTGAACAGGATTATTTTTCCATTTCTAAATTTATGTCTTTAAAATTAACATTTTAAAGCATACATTTATTTTAAACTTTAAATTTCCCTATTTAAAAAATCTTTCGTCTTACTTTTGACGGACCCATATTCTTTATAACAAAAGTGAAAAATATAGAAGAAAACTCATGATATTGGGTTACTGGATGTATTAATAGATGGAAGCATGGCTCAGCTGACAAGGCAAAGGGAAGGATAGATCCTTCTGGGTGCACTAGCTATCATCTCACTCATCCAAACCCACAATTCAGAGCCATAGTTTAAACCTGTTGGCCCCAAATTCTCTAGATCACTGTAATATCTGTCTTTCCCCCAACCATGCTCTCATGCTCTCCAAAAGTTTCCCTAGGCCACTTAATTCATCTTTATAAATTCTATAAATTTCTGTATATATTTTATAATTAAATATGAATAACATAAAGATATATCATTTTATATATATATTTATAAATTTGTTTTTTCCCAGTTGTTTTCATTTTGTTTTACCTCTGAATATTTCCTCCTTTACAAATAATGTTGACATACTCACTCTGGTCTCCCCTCACCTTCGTTACCCATCATCTCCCTCCCCCCTGCCATTTACTCCCCCTTCTTGCAAATTGTGGCTTTTTTTCTCTTTTATATCAATCAAGACAAATATTTTTCTGTATGTGCTCGTGTGTGTGCCAGTAATAGAAACTGATTTAAAATTCTTTTAGGGATGCCCATACTATCTAAAAGTTGGCATTGATTTTTTTTTCCCATCGAGGTGCTAGATTATAAGTATTTGAAGTTATGTGGCATTTCTGCTGAGGTAATTTTTTAAAGTTAACTATGACTTGATTCAGCTGAACATTTTTTTGCAGACAAAATCTAGTGCACTACCAGATAGGCATATAGCAATAGAACAATTAAATTTTATAAATATTTTAAGAATAGACTGCTTCTTTCTGAATGTTTTTGAGAAAGACAGGGTGATAGTTTATCTAAACATTAAGATCGGTAAATAGAATTTTAAATAAAATTGCTGCTTTGGTAAATTTACCTCTTAATTGTTTGCATTTGGTTTATAAACACTTTCCCCTTCTCATTGCAAGTTTTAAAAAAAAATGAAGTTCAGAGGGATTTTTAGTAATTATTTGGACCAATAAACTCAGGTATTCTGCCATGAACATCATTACTACAGCCAAATAAGCTTTCAGGTACTCAACCATTGAACTATATTTTTGTGCATAGGAAAACTATTTCGAAAACAGTTTTGAAAATGAAAATGCTAATGTTGAGTTCAGCACCACTGTGCCATCATCACCAACCTTATGATTCACAGAAGGAGCAAAGACAAGGGTGTCTGTTTATGAAATGCATTCCTCTGGTCTAGTGATCAGGGCATACGCCACATGGAGAGGGCCACGCTAAATAAAAACAAAAGCTATTAACAGCAGATACAGTAAAGAGATTACAAATAAATTGGTGTGTGTTGCCTCATGAGAATCACTCTTTTGTGAGAGAAAGGGTTAGCTCTTCCCTGGAACACCTCTACCTCTAGTTCTACCCCAAATCACTACTAACTTCTAGTAAGGCTTCTACCAAGAGTTCTTTTTTTACTTTAAATATTTCTTTTTGCTACATTTCTCTCCCCTCTCCATTAGAAGTAATCTAATTTGTCAAAGAAGTAGGCTAAGATCAGAAGAGAGAGGGAATGTCTATTAGAGATTAAATTTACAAACTAACTGACAATGGCAGCAGCCCAAGGCAGGAGGGATGAGCAGGAAGATTGAGCAGGGAAGGGAAGAAAATTAATAATTTTTGAGCATTAATATGTGCTAGGAGATACTTTAAAAATATTTTTTACTGATTTATTGATTTATCAAACACATGACGTATCTCAGTCCTTTTACAAGTACTAACTTTTAGAATTATCTTAAGTCTTATATTATCATAATAAGCATGCACACAAGGTGGCTATTATTATATTTATTTAACAGGAAACTGACACACAGAAAGTTTAAAGTTTAATTTGCCTAAAGTGACACAGCTAGTGAATGGCTGCACCAAAATTCAGACCCAGGCAATCTGGCCTTTCATCCTGTGCTCTGCCACCATCAAAGCGTCATATCAACCTTATAAGGTTGGCATTTATGATCTCCATTTTAGAAATGTGGATCCTGACTCAGGTTAAATAACTCAGACAGGATCAGCCTTAAACTAACTTTCTTAAACTAGCCTTAAACTAGCTTTTCTTATACTTTCTGTCCTTACTGATCATTTACCCAGTCATCCACATCTGAAACTTAGAGATAATTAGAGACTTTAGTCTTTCCAGCTGACTAACTGAGGCTTCTTCACTTCTGCTACTATCTTAATTAGTCCCTCACTATTCTGTAATCTCAAATGTGCTGTAAAGGAAGCAGGTGGGTAATAAAATGTGGGTAATAAAAAGTGAATGAGTCTGGGCACGTGGGAATGGAGAGTTGGTGGACGGGTGGGATGTTGTATTGTAAGGGGCCGGCTGCAGCTCTGCTCCAGCTGTCATTGTGGAGCTGACAGAGCTCATTGTGGACAGATCAGACTTTTCAGGAGAAACCAGAAACCTGGATTTTCATGTGAAACCTTCTACTTTCTAAATTGTAGCACAAGCCTAACAAAATGATTCTGCAGGCTACCAGGTTGTAATCTCTGACTATTCATTATTAAGCCTCCTGAGCAGATTTACTTCCTCTAGTCTGATCTGTACTTCCAGCCTTTTGGCCATCCTCCCTGTACCAGCATAATCTATCCGAAGTGCAAATCAGATAGGATTTGAGGGCTGGTTAGGAGAATTAAATGCTTCTAAGAATGTAATATTCTTAGAAGAATTCTGGGTACTTGGGTAAAAACTCAATAAATATTCTTTAATGGCTGTTAGGTTTTCACTAAATTAAAAGCCTTGAGTGATTCCCATTTATGTTCAGGATAATTTTTAACATGACAAAAAAGTTCCTTATTTCTACCTTCATCTTCTGCCATTTAATCAAATATACTCAGTCTATCGGTATGCTTAAGTGTGTCAGTGTATTTCATGCCTTACAGCTCTTCCTCCTCTGAGTCCATCTGACTGGTGAACTCTTACTATAGCCCCATCCCCTCCAAGATTCAGTTCAGGCATCACCTTCTGTATTAAACCTTTGATTATCCTTCCTCTTGAAGCACTGATTTCTCCCTACTTTGTGTCTCCATAAGATCATGAACTCCCTAAGGGCCGGAACTGTGTTTTATCAGTCTTATTCTCAGCACTTCATACAGTCAACATGGTATATATCTGCAATAAATGTTGGTTGAAAATAAAACAATTAGTGAAAGTTAATGCTGGGATTTGAAACTTCACCTATGAATTTCTTGCATTTTAGACTGTGCCTCAGAGAGGAAAGAAGCTGTAGCTGCCCTTTCGTTAGGGACCCAGTTTATACAGTGTACAATCTGAGGACTTATTGTAGCCTAGGGCATTATGATTGCAACTAGTGAATTGAATTTAGGCGAATTTTTATACTACAAGGCAATATAGTAGCATTAAGGACACTCCTTCCTCTGAAATGCAGTATGTGAAAACTAAGGTGAAATCACCAGTTAAATAATTTGTTTTACAGCCAGGTAAAGCAGTTCTATTTTCTTCCTTTAGAAATTTGATGGTAAATGGTTGGAGATACCACATCTATTTATAAATGGCCTGAGTGCCAGATTTGTTATCTCCTTTCCCCAGGCTTGATAAAAAAGAATGTTGGACTTAACTATTGGTAGTGTCTCCATTAATGAATAGAGCAGTCTGGAGAAAACACACGTGAACAGGAAATTCAAGGGCACCTTGTGTTGTTTTTATCAGTCCAGGAATTCTAGACTTGCAAATTGTATCCTGTTCTTTTTCTGGCCAAAGAAAGGGCTTTAATAAAACAAAAAGAACAGTGTTAAATCCATTAAAGGAATACATTTGCAATACAATAAGTGCCAGTCATCTAGACCATTCTTTGTAATAATTTGATCACTTCTTAGTTTTGTATAATTTAAATTTTTAAAAGTCTGTCTGTGTCTGGTAAGAAGGAAACAAATTTTTCTTGTTTTTAAAGCTAATCTTGTTTTTAAAGCTAATCTTGTTTTTAAAGCTAATCTTTAAAGCTAAACTATACAAGATATTGTATAATCATGAGTAAGGGTGGGATTTTTGTTTTTTCTGCAAATGTGTTTCTTAAGTAAGATTTATTTCTGAAGGCTAATAGAATACCAAATGATTCTGTATTTCTTAACCCAAATGAAATTATTATATATGAAACACACATATAATTTAAAATCTATTACATTAGAGTTGAGTTACCATCACTTACAGACTGCCTACTGTGTGCTCATCACTTTGCCAGGTACTGCGATGCTTTCATTACAAAGATAAATAGATGGAGATTTTGCCCTTATTTGGTTTTTAAACAAGACATACATGTATGTGTAACTACAATGGAAAGAACATCATAATCATTACTAAATTATATAGAGTCTAAAAGTAATATTTCATTACTTGACATCCACTTCCGATTTTGGAGTAAAACTCATTACAACTTCCTATGATGGAAGAAACCTCATCTTCTATTTACCTTCTTTTTTGAAGACCTCAGGTTCATAAATATTTATCTAAAATGACCTCATATGTATTTCTATACTGTTGGGTTTTTTGTTTGTTTTTTTAGCCTAGATCTCACTCTGTTACCCAGGCTGGAGTCCAGTGGCTATGCATAGGCGCCACCATAGTGCACCACAGCCTTGAACTCCCAGGCTCAGATGACCCTCCTGTCTCAGCCTCCCAAGTAGCTGGGGCTACAGACATGTGCCACCATGCCTGGCTCTATTTTTATACGGTTAATGCAGACAATTTCTGTTGTTTGGAATTGTTTTGAATTCCCTAACACTTCTTTATGTTTCACAAAAATTTCCTCAAAAGTTTTGTTCCTTAATGTTCCTCAAAAGTTTTGTCCACCTCTAGCCCCCCAATTTGGCTTCATTCTGGGAAGGCCTAGTCTGTAGCAGACCATCTCCTACAGCCACTTTCCAGTGGACATAGGTGCTCTAGGCAAGATAGCCATCAGCCTTGTGTGTTTTAGATTCCACCTTATCCCAATCCCATTCAACATTTAAATTGAATAACAGTTCTCTTTGTTTTGATGCCATGCTCGCCAAGCAATCTTCTGAACCTAATTTCTTGTTACTCAGTGTCTTACTGTGTAAATCAGTAAACTGCATTCTGTCTTGTATATTTGTCTTTTGTGAACTTTGTTAGGATAAAGTGACTTCCAGAATTTGATTGCCCTGAGACACTGGCAGCTGAGGGCCAGACCTTGCCGCTTGGCAGACCGAGCAGGGCAGCCTGCTCGACAAGGCCCCTTGGCAGACAGTCAGCTCCCTCCAAGGCCAAACCCCAAGTTCAACATACATCTTTCTCTCCCATTTCTGCAAGCATAACTGTGAACAGCATAATTCTGTGAGTCATGTGTTATTTCTTTGTGCTTTTTTCAAGAGGCATTATAAAAGGTTTTTTATGTTTTTCACCATTCACTTTTTGAAAGGAATATATAAGGCCTTGGACAACTAGAGTTGGGTCTTTACCTTTTGTTAAGGCAAACTTGTAAAGTGGCAAACCACTTTATAAATTTTTATTGGCTACAGATCTTCTGGACATTTTCTCTGTTCATTAGTATCTGCTTGCTAGAACAAATACAAGGCAAGTCAGAAATCATTCTACAATCGTAGGGTGTTGCTCTTTAATGGTACTTTTAAGGTTTTCCCACCCCAAATATTTGTTGAAAAAGTAACAGGCAGTTGTTTACCAAAAAGCATTTGAAGAGAACTATCTATGAACTGCAATTTTATATGCCTAGGGAAGGTTCACTGGAATACTACTGCAAATTGTACACCTGTCCTCCTTTTGAGGATTCAGGATGCATGTTAGCATATTAAAGATGCTGGGAAGGCTAGGCAAGGTGGCTTGTACCTGTAATCCCAGCACTTTGGGAGGCCAAGGCAGGCAGATCACTTGAGGTCAGGAGTTCGAGACCAGCCTGGCCAACTTGGTGAAACCCCATCTCTACTAAATATACAAACATTAGCGTGCACCTGTAATCTCAGCTACTCGGGAGGCTGAGGTGGGAGAATTGCTTGAACCCAGGAGGTGGAGGTTGCAGTGAGCCGAGATCACGCCACTGCATTCCAGCCTGGGCAACAGAGTGAAATTCTGTCAAAAAAAAAAAAAAAAAAGATGCTGGGAAGTCTTATAGTAAGAAACTTATTTAACTTTGTGTAGTCTGGGTTTCTTAAATTTACTTAAATTCCTCAATTTCCAGTCCATCCTTCCTCTCCCATCCCAAGCCCCAGTTAACAAATGTGATTTGATTTCAGAGATGTTTTCTATACACGATCCCTGTTTCACTTTTCCTTCTTTGACCTTTTTTTTTTTTTCCAGTTAGAGACAGGGTCTTGCTCCATCACCCAGGCTGCAGTGCAGTGGTTCAATCGCAGCTCATTGTAACCTTGAACAAGGGTTCAAGCAGTCTTCCTGCCTCATCCTCCAGAGTAGCTGTGACTACAGGTGTGCACTACCACACCTAGCTAAGTAAAAAAAAAAAAAAAATTGTAGAGATGAGGAGATCCCAGGCTGATCTCAAACTCTTGGCCTCAAATGATCTTGGCCTCACAAAGTGCCAGGATTAGAGTCATGAGCCACTGTGCCTGGCATTCTTTGACCTTTCTGCATCTGATCCTGAAACATAGAACATGAGCCCAATGATTCTGAAATTTCCAAAAATGATTTGGCAGCATTGTTTTAGCAATTCAGTAAGAGCAGCTTAATCCATAAAAATCACTTGGCCATGATAATTCTTGAGTTTATTTTTCATTATTTATTGTTTTAAAAAATAATGCTCATTATTATTAAAGCATTTAGCACAATACAAAGATTAAACTAGGTGCCTAGAATAGTATCTTACATTTGTATAAGCCATTGTGGCTTTCCTGTGTATTATCTCAGATGGCCTTAGAACTAGGCCTGTGAACCAGGCAGAGCAAATATTTTAAGCCCTGTTTTGGGAAAAGTGACTTGAGTTAAGGGTGTTCTGGTGATTTGAATAAGACCATATGATCAGTTAGCAACAAGGCTGGGATTAGATCTTTTAATTTCTGACTTCTACCTTCTGTAATTTCTTTTTCCACAGTTGCTTATTAGCCAATCTTTACAGAGCACTTTACTATTGGCTAATTCTTTCAACTACTGTTACTGCGCCCCCTCCCTCCCCCCAATCAATAGGTTGTCTCATTCATTCATTCATGACTACTCTGAGTCAGATGCAGTGCTGTTGTGAGTTTTGAAAAATGAATCAGAAAGAGTTCTTACATGGAGATGTTCCTGGTTTGGTGGAGTAACTGTTAGGGCCGAATTTTTCTTAGGAGTGATAAGCCACCAGTACCTGACTACAAATGTTAGAGAACATGCACCAAAAAAATGAGAAATGCTTTGCCTCTTCTGCAGAGCATGTTAGAGAAGTCACCACAGCAGTAAGACTTCAGCTAAACTGGGCCATAAAGGATCAGCAGATTCCTGCAGAGACATATCCTGCAGTGGATATAACTGCTTCAGGGATAGGTCATGGAAGAGCTTGGAGGCATGAAAGAGCTAGGTATGTTGGGAAAAGAATGAGTGGTGAGGAAGAGCATCAGATAAGGATAGAAAATATAAAAAGCAACAGATAAGGATAGCAAGTTGGAATCCTGACTCCACATCACACTAGCTATGTGACTTGCCCCAAACTTCAGTTCCCTACTTTGCAGGGCTGTCGTGAGGATGAAATGCAATCATGCATGGCAAGTGCCTCTATCTTAAATCCTCAGGAGAAAAAAAGGGGGAAATCAGTGAATAAAATATCATAAAGTTCCTGATATATAACCATACTCAGTGTATGTGAGTTGTTCTTATTGATCATATGTAGCTAATTTGACTTGCAGTAGGCAATGAGGAACCATGACTGATTCTAAACAAGTGACACGATCAGCTTCTCATTTAAAGTAGTCAGCAGAGGAACAAATTTATGCCAAAATAATAGATGCAGTTTTAGACATAGTGATTCTGAGGCTCAAGCAGTACATTGAGGTATAAACCCCTAATAGGACAACAGTAGAACTGGGAGTTTGCCATAGATAATTGTTTGCTTTCAACCTACACTTGACTTGCTTGACATCTTTTGGTTCATTCCATCAACCCTGGAATCTAGTCCACTTCAGGTCCACATCCAGGGCTCTGTATCTTCTTTACTTAAAGCAAGATGGATGTTGTGGCATAGGTGGCAGGTTTGGGGAACACTTTTCAACTAAGAATGCTTTGGATGGTCACTCTTGGCAAGCTGGATCTTCTTTGGACTGGTCTGTTACGATCTTCATCTAGATAAGCAAAGCCTCTTTAATGTATGAACTCTTCTAGTCTTTTTATCCAGATGTGGCTGTAGTAGGCAAGTCTCTTAGGGTCAGTGGCCACCTGCCGCAGCCATCGGAGTTCAGTCTTCCCCCCGTCAAGTGGCCATTTTGCCACACTCCTTATCTAATAGTCCAGATTATTTTCTTTGAAACGGTACTTTGTTTGCGTGGCCCAGTGATCTCTAAAAGTTGGCACTGGAATGCCTTTAAGCAGACATACATTGTCCACTTAAGGCCACAAAGCTTCCCTGTTGTTACCTGGCTTCATTCATACATTTCTGTTTCCTTCTTGGTTCCTATAGGCATCTGAATTTCATTTGAAAATGAAATGGGCTGCACAGTCTGGAGAAGTGTACTATACCTTGTTATAGCACGTTTTGGAATGACCCAGAATTCAGAATGAAATGGGCAGCTATGAGCCCCATCCAAAGGTGCCTGTTTCTAAAAGTAGTTTCCCCCTACAATATACGTGAACGTTGCTTTAGGCTGGTGTTTATATGCATATTTGATACAACACTTCATGTTTCATAGAATTCATAAGGCAGAAGCTACTTCTTACTATTAAACTAAACTGCATTAACTCTTAGGAGACTGACATTTATCAGGGACATAGCTATTAGCACTATCTTATAGATTTTATTTAGTAATGAAACAACAAAATAGCTGGAACTTTTCTTGTTTTGAATGCTTGTTGAATGTGACCTTTGTATATAAATGTGTCTATATTATATATGGATGCCACTGGTTCTTCTTTGCTGTCATTAACTCCTGGTTTTGCCACCACAATATGAATTTCTCTTGCTTTGGAAATAGTGCTTTTCTTTCTTCCCTAGCTTTGTATTATTTATAATGTGAAATACTTGGATGTGTTAACTGTTAGGGTCGAATTTTTCTTAGTTGAAATTGAACATTTTCAGAGTTTATTATAAAAGATAGGGGTTTTTTTTCCCACTGAATAATTTGTTTTTCTATGTTGTTTCAGTTTCCGTTACTATGGCAATGACGGCAGGGACTACAACAACCTTTCCTATGAGCAACCATACCCGGGAAAGAGTGACTGTAGCCAAGCTCACATTGGAGAATTTTTATAGCAACCTAATTTTACAGCATGAAGAGAGAGAAACCAGGTATAGTAAGGGCTAATCAAAACTTTTTTTAGTTAAATAAGCTGTTGTGCTGTGAGTGGAATAGAAACTTGTTTACCATGAATGATATGAATATTATGGATCCCTGCATGCTGTTTTTGAGTTTCCTGTACTGACAGTGCACATAGACATGTGTTTTATTTTCACAGAGTAGTTTCCTGAGGTGCCCCAAGTCTTGTGCATCTATATACCCGTATGACATGCCAATTAACGTTTTAAACAAACCTTTTCCAAACATGAAATTATGATATGTCTTTACATTTTCTTTTAAAGGGATGCCTGGCTTGGTGTGGTGTGGCTCATGCCTATAATCCCAGCACTTTGGGAAGCCGAGGTGGGCAGATCACCTGAGGTCAGGAGTTCAAGACCAGCCTGGCCAACATGGTGAAACCCCATCTCTACTGAAAATACAAAAAATTAGCCGGGTGTGGTGGCGGGTGCCTGTAATCCCAGCTACTCAGGAGGCTGAGGCAGGAGAATTGCTTGAAGGCAGCAGTGAGCCAAGGCTGCAGTGAGCCAAGATCACACCACTGCACTCCAGCCTGGGCAACAGAGTGAGACTTTGTCTCAAAAAAAAAGATGCTTTATGAATGACTGACTTTAATCCAAAAGCATTTACAGTGCATATCAGGGGGAATAGAAGAATAAAAAAAAGAATGACATGTTATTTTGACTTTAGAAAACTTATACTAAAGGAGATAACACACATAAATATATAAATGAAAGAGTGAAGAATATTAAGTACAAGGAAGGGAGAATGTGCTTTTGTCTAGGCAACTGGGAAAGCTTTGTAAATAGTGGTGGCATTTAAACAGGGCTCTAAAGGAGAAGAACTATTTATACATGCATAAAAGGAAGGAGACAGAGGCAAAAGAGCAGGAGGGAAGGATATTAGAGACAGAAGAAATCACCAGGTCAGGCAGTGTCCAATTTCGCTCAAGCACAGGATGTGCTAGATTCCAACATCCTGGGAGCCTTGGATTCTTTGTTAATGTAGCTCTTTTCATGGTAGTGGAGAGCCTTGGATGTTTTTGAGCAGAAGAATCAAATGAAAACAAGTGTTTCTCTAGAAAGGAACTTTAGTTGTGATACAGAGAATGGTTTGGGGTCAGGGTGGGGAATTAGAAACAGGAAAGTCTAGTGATGTAGTCCAGGTAAATGGAAAGGAGGCTTGAATTAGAATTGTGACAACAACAACAGAGAACTGACAAGTAAGAAAGATTGACAAAATGTGGCTACTAGCAAAATATGAAATGTGAGGGAAATAAGTCAATGTTGCCTCTGAAATTTCATGCCTGGGCAAACTGAGAGTGGTACAGTTTAAATGAAATAGAGAGGAAAAGTCTCATTTAATTTTGGACGGATTTAACTGCAGATTAGATACAGGTATGGTGAGAATTAGTGAACTGGAAAATAATTATTCAGAAATCAACTTAAAATAGGAATATGTGAAAGAGAGTTGAGAAACATGGAGAATCATGAGAAGACTTGACATATCTCTAAAAGTTCTGAAAGGGAGGAAAGGAATGAAAATAGAGCAGAGGCAAACAAACAAAAAAAGAGTTAGCATCAGCAGAAATTCCAAAAAGTTCCATTTAGGCAGAAGGAAAGTGACCACAAATAGAAGATTTAAATGGTAAGTAGGTGGATAAATCTCAACAAAAATTATATAAAGCAACAGAAATAATAGCGATAATATCTTACACATTAAAAAATAGAACGATAATATTTTCCAACAGCAGAATATAATTCAGGAAAGAAGTAATTAGAATTAAGGTGTTCTTAATGATCTTAGTAGAAAGGGCATAGAGATTAGCTTCAGAGTTTGACAAATTATGTTGTAAGTTCTAGAGTAACCATAAAATGATAAAAATAGAGTTTGTAATTTCCAGACTAGTAGAAGGAAAAAATTGGAATGAGAAAAAAAAAGTCAGTTCAAAAAGAATGCAAGAGAGAAAGAAAAACTGAAATACCAAAAATGGTAAAAATGAAATACCAAAATAGCACAAAATAAGTTAGAAATAAAAATCTAAATATATCAATAATTAAATGAATTACAAGGGTAATTAAAGTCTCTGGAAGTGATCAGACCATCCTGGGAGAGTGAATAAAGTAGAAGAGAACCAAGGAAGAAAAAGCAGGCACTTAAAAAAATTCATCAGAATTTCGAAGGTTCATTGTCTTTACTTGCTGCAGTGTTAAAGTAATTCAGTTTGCTTTCTTTTTCCAAATAAAGGAAAGTAACAATAAAATTATCTGTGTTATTGAAAAAAAAAGTAGTCTCAGCTTGGTGCCACTGTATGTCAAGTCGAACAATCTGCTCATATTTTCTAAAAGCTTATACTTTTAAGAAAATGTGATGTATTTTTAAGGCTTAACTAATTGGATAAATGCATAAGCCCAATAAATTTCTAATCAGAGCAAAGCATAAGAGCATTTTAGGTGGAAAACTATTTTTAAAAAAGGTACAACAGAAATCATGGATCTTCCTGTTTAGATATGGTAGAAATGGATAAAAGTTACTGTATCTCTTCCAGAATGAGGAATGATTTCATGAAGTGTTAGTCTTGGCAATAACTGAGGAAAGGGACAGTGGAAATTTGACAGAAGAATAAAGTTGTTTATATGTTATAGCTCCTCCCAGAATAATGGTCCTCTTACTCTCTGGATTCTTTCTGCAGAGGAGAAAACTGGAAATCATTCAACAAGCAGCACTGAAGTGCCTAGGGGTAGGTGATGGCAGCACAGAATCTGATGTTAGGAGATTATTCTTGTCTAAGGGTTGGGGCCTAGGGGAAATAATGCATAAACAAAAGACAAAAATCAGTGTAATAAGCACCAAGGTAGGTGCCTATGACAAGCACTGAGGAAACATGTGTTGGAGAATATGCTCTTAGGCCTCATCCTCTCCAGTGGGGTGCTGATGTATCAACAGGCTTTAAATGTTACAAATCTTCTATAAGAAGGAAAACTAAGTGATCTTAATGATGGTTTAGTAAAAAAGCTTACCTTTGGACATGTAGCCATGAATAAGAAATATCAAAAAGTTGTGGGAGGGTTTCAATCCTTAACCCTTATACCCATTCAGTTAAATCCTGAAAAGTTACTGTTATTCTGACACACTCCAGAACTAATTAGGAGGAGTTCTGCTAGGTTTATATTTAGGGAAAACCAATACAATAGAAATAAAATACTAATACTCACTTGGAAATGAGTTGCAAAATGTGTTCCACAACCATCTCTCTAGTTTTAGTTACTTCATCCACACTGCCCTTACCCCAGATGCTCAGCTTAACTAACTTCAAGGGTGCTGTTTAAAAAAAATGAATAACTGAACCTGGCTGTACCTAGAAAAGCAAATGTTCTGGTAGCTAGTGGGTTTTTAAAAAATATTTATTTATTTAGAGACAGAGTCTCACTCTGTCGCCCATGCTGGAGTGCAGTGGCACGATCTTGGCTCACTGCAACCTCCGCCTCCCAGGTTCAAGCAATTCTCCTGCCTCAGCCTCCCAAGTAACTGGGACTACAGGCGCCAGCCACCATGCTCGGCTAATTTTTTTTGTATTTTTAGTAGACACGGGGTTTCACAGTGTTAGCCAAGATGGTCTCGATCTCCTGACCTCGTGATCCGCCCACCTCGGCCTCCCAAAGTGCTAGGATTACAGGCGTGAGCCACCGCACCCGGCCGCTGGTGGGTTTTTAAAAACACACATATATGACTTTCCAATTTTCAAATAATTTTAATACAATAAAATAAATGCAATTGCATTGAACATTTTTCCTTCATAAGTTAAGGAAAACTGAGCTTAGAGTTTCAGTGAGGGACTTAGCCAAGCTCATTTAGCTAATAAGTGTTAGAACCAGGGATATTTACCTTAAAATTTTATACTTTTAGTCAGTATAGTTATCTTTTTATATTTCTAATATAAGCATTGGGAAATATTAATGATATTGGTAGATTGAACATTAAGTAGCAGAGTTTTCCATATTAGAACATCAGTCATTGCCAACATTTCATTTAGGCAGGAGCGTGAAGTAAGCCTTAGAAGTAAATTATTCATTTGGCCAGTATGAGAAAGCAAAATCTGGGTTTGTTTTTTGAGAAAGAAAACTATTCTTAGTGATTATGTTGATCCAACTTGAAAGTTTTTTTTTTTTTAGCCTAGCAAGCTGAAGTGGTTAACCTGAATAAATAAATGTATATTTCTTAAGTGGAAATAGTTAGGAATGTATTTAAAATTTAATTTTTTTTTCCTTTGAAAAGGCAGAAGAAATTAGAAGTGGCCATGGAAGAAGAAGGATTAGCAGATGAAGAGGTAATGTAATTACCTATAATTACTGTACAAAAGCACCCCCAGTGACTTTTCATTCATTTGACATCAGGTATTTTATAACTTAAATAATGTGGATTTTATCATTTGAATATGGGCTTCTTTGTTGCTGTCATGGATATCTTTTATTGATATCTTTAGAAGGAGGCAGTTTTGTTTTTTTCTTAAATTCCAAGAACACGTATTTAAGAGAACATTGCCAAGTGTATTTTAGGTGTGTGGAATGAGAAAGGCAAGCTCCGGGAGGAATTAATCAATCGTTAGCTTTTCTAAAATTTTTTCTAAATATTCTTTTAAAGCTATCTATTTCTCTAGTTCAGTGCTATTACCCTGGTTTAAACTACCATATATTTTAACCTGAAAAATAACTGTCCCCAACTGGTCTCCCCATTTCCCACCCCCAGTTTTTCTGCATACTGCAGCTAGAGTAATTGGTCTAAAAATAGATTTGATCATCTTACTCTTTTGCTTAATAACCCTTCACTGGCTCCCTTATCTCGGGATATGGGCAAGCTCTTTAACATTGGTATACCTGGGCCGGGCGCGGTAGCTCACACCTGTAATCCCAGCACTTTGGGAGGCTGAGGCGGGTGGATCACGAGGTCAGGAGATCGAGACCACGGTGAAACCCCGTCACTGCTAAAAATACAAAAAAAAAAATTAGCCAGGAGCGGTGGCAGGCGCCTGTAGTCCCAGCTACTCAGGAGGCTGAGGCAGGAGAATGGTGTGAACCCGGGAGGCAGAGCTTGCAGTGAGCCGAGATCGCGCCACTGCACTCCAGCCTGGGCGACAGAGCAAGACTCCGTCTTAAAAAAAAAAAAAAAAAAAAAATTGGTATACCTTCACTACTTGGCCTCTGCTTATCTCTCTCTAGCCTCATCTCTTGTCACCCGCCCCCGACGCTGACAAGTATGAATTTCTTTGATGTCCCCTGTCTTGCCTGTGGACCTTTTCACATGCTCTTTCTGCTGCTTGGAACTCTTCCTCACTCCTACCCAACTCCCATTATTCTTCAAGAATCTTTAGTAGCTGGGCATGGTGGTACGTGCCTGTAGTCCTAGCTACTTGGTAGGATTGAAGTGGGAGGATCACCTGAGCCTGAGAGTTTGAGGTTGCCATGAGCTATGATCATGTCACTTCACTCCAGCCTGGGCAAAGCAGCAGCTTTAGGCCTCACTTCAGGCATCACTTCCACTGGGAAATCTTCCTTAACCTCTCAAGGTACCTTCTGTATTCTACTGTTCCTGTCCCCATGGGAGCCTTAAAATACAGTCTTCCCAAAGACTAGACACTGTAACATCTTGTTGAGCATTACATCTCCACAGCTGTCTGGCAGAGAGCTAGAATAAATATTTGGTGAATAAACAAATAATGGCTTTTGCCCTCAAGGAGTTTTAGATTAGGAGAGGGAGAGTGAGTGAGTGTGTGTGTGTAAAAATATGTACGCATGATAGAATGTGGTGAACGTTGAAAATATAGAGAAGATTTTTCCTCTAATTCAGAGGATCAGAAAATGTTTCATAGAAGAAGTAATAATTGATTTGAATTGTAAAGAATGGGTAGAATTTACATTAGAGGTAAGGGATGTATACAAAATAATGAATACATGTACAGAATAATGAGTTTACATTTGAGCTATAAAGGGTGCAATAAAAGGAAATAGTGAGGTAAGTTGATAGCACACCATGGAAAGCTAGGTTTAGAATAGTTTACTAAAAAAGGTATACTTTAGTACTAGGCAATAGGGAGTCACAACCCAGATTAATTAGTTTAACATGCTGAGTGCAGTGGCACACACCTGTAATCCCAGCACTTTGGGAGGCCAAGATGGGAGGATCACTTGAGCCCAGGAGTTCAAGATCAGCCTGGGAAATATAGTAAGACCTGGTCTCTACAAAAAATTTTAAAAATTAAGCATGGTGTCCTGTGTGTGTAGTCCCAGCTACTCAGGAGGCTCAGGTGGGAGGATCACTTGAGCTCAGAAGGCAGAGGCTGCAGTGAGCTGAGATCATGCCATTGCACTCCAGCCTGGGTGACAGGGTGAGAGTCTGTCTCAAAAAAAAAAAAAAAAAAAAAAGAGTTTCTATATTTAAAGAGTAGACCATCATCAAATGATTAATTGAAATCAAATCAGTATCTAATCTTCCCTGTACCTTTCCTAGGACTGTAGCTGTTCCTTATAGTTGCAATGTTTAAATCAAATACAATATTTTATGACTTATACTAAAGGTGGTAACTTTGTTAATCAGTTGACTCAATCTAGAAAACTCAGATGTTTTTACATTTAAAATTATCTATCATTATTTACATGTCATTAATATTTTAAAAGCTCATTTATGTCCTTTAAATTTTAGTGAGAAAGGTAGTGATTTAAATCTGTATTCCAATCTATAGAGAAAAAATAAGACTGAGCATATCTTTCCTCATTTTAAAGTTAGAATTATAAATTTCTTATAATTAATAACCATATAATTGCATTTATATATTATACATCATTATATTGATATAGAAATCTTAAACATAAGATCTTAATTTGAAGTGTAGGGGAAGAGACTGCAAAAACAGATGCCCAAACACTAAGCAGGCAACGGAAGTGAGATAAGCTGGCCAGGTTGGTTTCATAGTGGCATCTAGGGTTATATTCTTTTGATCCAGATATACTTTGTTTACATATTCAACTTATATGATTTTTTTTTTGCTTCCACAAAGAAATAGATTAATATTTTTCCTTTTTAAAAAATATTATTTTCTTAAATATTGATCCTTACAGTTTATCTGTTGGCAAAGACATGCCACTTTTCACATTGCTGTAATAAGAGTCCCAGCCCATGTGGACATGCCTCCTAGGGACTCGCATCAGTGGTGGGGACTGACAAATTAGGGAACCAAGGCTCATCTAAAGAGGATTGCTACCATTGGCCCCTGTGGCCAAGGCCCTGTTTTTCCAGAGAAGCTAGTAATCTGGACTTTTTTTGCAGAATAACCAATCACCTGCTTTTGAAAAACAACTTGCAGTCCAAATCAAATATATCTGTAGGTTGAATATAGTTTGTAGCTTCCTGTTTGCAACTTCTGGTCTGCATCAGCAAGTACTGACTACATTTACAGCTATTTTCTCTAATTTTTCTGAATAACTTGTAGAAAATAGGAGATGATTTTTCCATAAAAAATAGTCAGTGGCCCATAATACCAGTTTATAAAACTTCTAATGTTTTTCTCTAAAAAATGTTTTTAATTCCACAGGTGCTTATTATTAGGCTCCATGCTAGAGCCTGGATTATATCAAATTCTGTAAAATAGACAAGCTCTCTCAACCTTAATATAAAGTATGTTACAGCATCTTTATATGGGGTGGGTTTGATAAAAAATAAAATTGTCTCATAAAAATAAAATAGATAAAGTTGCTAGCTGAACCCTTTTCATCTGAAAAATTTTGTATGCACTGTCTGTCTTATACAAATACTGGCCACCCTACAGATGGAGAGTTTGAGGAACACCTATATAAAAAGGAATGGAGAAAGGAAGAAAAGCACTTTCTAGTTTCATCTCACTTAAGAAAATCCCATCCAACATGGAATGTTATTTACTCTAATGAAAAACTAAATAGGCAAGTTCAAGCTATAAAAGAGAGTCGTGAAATGTTAAGCTGTCCACAGATTTTTATTGTCTTCTTTGAAGAGGAAAGGATGCAATTACCACAAGGATACTGTTTGTCTTTCAAGGCTACTTAATCTATACAGGTTGTGAGTAGATATATCAACAGGCTTTTTCACCAATTTTTTTTTTAACATGAATTTGATTCAGCTACCTCTGGACTGCAACACTGATTCTAAGACTAAAATCATGGAATCAATTTTTTTTAACTAATGTAACAATGTTATAGGTGATGCTCATTTTTATAGAATTATGTGTTCCATACACTTGTGACTCTCTCTTTTTGCTATTAAATGGCTGGGCCCAAAACCACATAAATTGTGTGAGTGCTGCATTATACAAACTACTAGACAATTTATGAAACTGTGTATAGTGATGTCATCTTTTCCATTCAGATTAAGCAGGATTTCTGCAACTATATCCAACTGTACTGTTTTATAATCTATAAAGGGAGAGATTCAAAATACTTTCAAAATTCTTATTCTTTTATGTAATTAAAAAAAAACCCTCCTCACTACTTCCTTAAAGGACATGATACTATAGTGCCACCAAGTGGCCTTTTAAAAATTAGTCTTAAAATTTAAAATCAGATACTTTTTAGAGCTCTCTTTTGTTTTACTAGTAATTTATTTTTTTATTATTCAAAAGGTATTTTTGAACACCTATGTGCAAAAAAGGGTATTTGTCATTGCATTTAGGTAAAAAGCAGCAAAAAATAGTCTTCACTATTGTTTCAGGCCACATTTGTTTTCTTAATTATATCAATGTAATTTTAGCTCCGTTAAAACTGATATTTAAGTAGCTTCCCTTAAAGAAAGCAGGAATTTGCCAGTGTTGGTATTTCAGGAATTTTATAAACACACACACACACACACACACACACACACACACACACATATATTTGAGATGGAGTTTCGGTCTTGTCACCCAGGCTGGAGTGCAATGGGATCTCAGCTCACTGCAACCTCTGCCTCCCGGGTTCAAGTGATTCTCCTGCCTCAGCCTCCTGAGTACAGGTGCATGCCACCACGCCCGGCTAATTTTTGTATTTTTAGTAGAGACGGGGTTTTACCATGTTGGCCAGGATGGTCTCGATCTCCTGACTTCATGATCCATCCACCTCGGCCTCCCAAAGTGCTGGGATTATAGGCGTGAGCCACCACACCCGGCTTATCGCCTCACTTCTTACTGAAAAAAATAATCTTTCATTGTTGTTTGCTTACTTTTTCCATAGTACCATTGTATTTTATAATCAATATCAGATGTGGAAAAAGACATTTAAAAAAAGACATTAAAGACATTAAAAAAAGACATTAGGCAAAGCCTGTTAATTTGTGTACTTGATTTTTATCTTCATTACTGTCATAATTTACACCATTGGTGTGCCTTAGTGTATAACTTCATTTAGCTGTTTGAAGACATTTCTTGATTTCATCTTCTTAGATTAACTTTGTTAGAAGTATCAGAATTCCATTGCATTGATAATACATGTTTACATACATATTTCTAATTAATAGTTCACCTAACCCTTTTAAAAACAGATATATACAGGAGTAGGGAGAGGCTATACCATGAGCTGCATTTAGAAGCAATGTTTCTAAGCTGTTACTTTCATTTTGATTTGTCTGTCCCTCCAAACTGAACCACTAAAAGCTTGGCAGGATTCAGTTGAAGATGAACAGGAGTTAAATTTTTTCACTGATATTGTTTCTTTTCCACTTAGTGTTTCCTCTACTAGGAGCTAACTATGTCCAAAAACAGAATTTTGATTGGTGAGGGTGAAAAATGAAGTTTAGAACAATAAAATAAATACCTGTTCCAAATGTAACCTGCAGGTATTTCACAGTATTGCTTATTAATGGAAGTTATTTTTTGTGGTCTTTGTAGAATCAGTTATGAAATTACCAACTTGGATATTTTAATGACTTCTTCTTGTAATTGTTTTTGCAATTTTATATTTTCAGGAAGTTCTATGCCAGGTCTCAAGCAGTTTATTAAAATTTGCCCAAGAGTAAATTCTACCACAAGTAAATCTCTTTGGAAACACTACCATTATGTTGTTATTTTATTGTCACAAGTCTCAGTAGTTGTGAAAGAGCAACCTTGGAAATTAAGGAATTGAAGCAAAGCAGATTTCCTGACAGAATAAAAATCAGTATCAGAATACCATTAACATTTACTAACATTTAATTTTTATTTATGGAATTGTTACCATATAGATGAAAGAATAAGTTATACATATATATATATATAGACAAATATGATGGACTGAATTACATATTTAATGGAGTCCACCTCAAAAGTAAAGATTTATCAGTTGTTAAAAATTTTAGAAAGTTTTCTTTAAATTGTTTTAGCCTAATAGTATATTACATATTAGTGCTATCATTTATTTTTACGTGTATCATCTTTTAATACTAGAAGCTCCATCAAAACAACCTAATTATAAAATCATCCGTTTAAATTGTTTTTTTTTAATAGAAAAAGTTACGTCGATCACAACACGCTCGCAAAGAAACAGAGTTCTTACGGCTCAAAAGGACCAGACTTGGCTTGGATGACTTTGAGTCTCTGAAAGTTATAGGAAGAGGAGCTTTTGGAGAGGTGTGCTTCTTTTTAAAAGTCACTACTGCTGCAAATATATATCTTAAGATAATTTAAAATATGTGTTAAAATATAATTCCTGGCTGGGTGCGGTGGCTCACGCCTGTAATCCCAATACTTTGGGAGGCCGAGGCGGGTGGATCGCCTGAGGTCAGGAGTTCGAGACCAGCCTGGCCAGTGAAACCCCGTCTCTATAAAAATACAAAAATTAGCTGGGCGTGGTGGTGGGCACCTGTAATCCCAGCTACTTGGGAGGCTGAGGCAGGAGAATCGCTTGAGCCCAGGAGGCAGAAGTTGCAGTGAGCTGAGATCCCACCATTGCACTCCAGCCTGGGCAACATGAGTGAAACGCTCTCTCAAAAAAATATATATATGTGTTTGTATGTATATATAAAAAAATATATATAAATATAAATATATATAAATGTAAATATATAAATATATATAAATATATATTAATATATATAAAATATATATAAATATATATATAACATATATAAAAATATATAGATATAAAAATATATAGATATATATATATAAAATTCCTGAAATACCAACACTGGCAAATTCCTGCTTTCTTTAAGGGAAGTTACTTTTCTTTCCTGAACAAATAGTAGTGACTGTTTTATAATATATGTTTTTTATCTTTTAGGTGCGGTTGGTCCAGAAGAAAGATACAGGCCATATCTATGCAATGAAGATATTGAGAAAGTCTGATATGCTTGAAAAAGAGCAGGTATGAGTTCTTTAACACATGTAATATAAAGGAGCATCCACTGACGCAGTGTTAAGAGTGTTTATATTAGAATTTTTAAGAAGCAGTTTACACATCTTACTACATAAGCTATTAATTTTTTGGTAGCCTGTTTTAGTGTTTCTCAGTTCTTTTAAGGTTTCTTCTAAATTTATAATCTATGTATGTCTGCTTAGACTTCCATAACAGAACACAACAGGCTGGTTAGCTTAAACAACAGAAACTTATTTTCTCATAGTTCTGGAGGCTACAAGTCAAAAATGAAAGTTTGGGCAGGTTTTGGTTTCTGGTGAGGCCTCTCTTCCTGGCTTGCAGATGGCCACCTTCTCACTAAGTTTTCACATGGCCTTTCCTTGGTGTGTGCGGGGACACACACTCCTGTGAGAACTCTCTGGTGTCTCTTCTTATAAGGACATTAATTCCACCCTTATGACCTCATTAATTAACCTTAATTAATTCCCTAAGGGTCCATCTCCAAATACAGCCTCATTGGAGATTAAAGCTTTACTCTATGAATTTTGTAGATGCATGAACATTCAGTACATACCTTCTGAAATACCTCCTTTTCTGACTACAATGAAAATAAAGGACAGTTCTCAGCTCCCAGAATCCCTGTCACATATCAGATAATCAAAACTAGTCTCCTGGAAATTTGCTGATTTTACATATTTCTAAAATCTGTAACCTTGTAAATATTCTGGGCTCTCTGCATGTTTCCTGTGCCTTAATGCAGTTACAAGGGGTGGCTTCGAGTAAAGGAGGGATGGCTTTTTGAATATTTAAGGAGAGAAATTGTGAAATGGTCATTTTCAGGTGCGGGAAAGCAGACCTGCTAAGGAAATGCAGTTGAAGGCTCATTGAGATTTGCAGTCATGAATTTAAAGTGAAACCCATTGGCATAGCTGGGTGATTTTTCACCCTAGTTTCAGTTAGGTTAAGAAGGTAATAGGAACCATCAGGAGACAGGGTTATAGGGGATTTTGTTGATGACAGGCTATGATTCCCCAGAGGGAAGAGGTGTGGAAGGCAAGGAAGGTTGAGATACTGAGTTGGATTAGAGAACTATAGATAATGATGGGAATATAGCAAGACCCCATTCTCCACAAAAAGGAAGAAAAAAGAAAGATAATGATGGCAATAAGGACGTGGGTAAAGATGCATAGCCTCAGAGACAGGGAGGGCAACAGGAATCTAACTTAGCCATAATGGGATTAGTCCTACTAGGGTATAATAGGAAGGACAGAAGGAAGCAGTTAGTTCCAGCTGTAGTGTAGATACCAGCCAGCCACATGTGGCTACTGGGCACAAATTGGGATATCCAGCAAATAAGGCTTGGTGCAAAAATAAATAAATAAATAAATAAAATATTTCAATGATTTTTATATTGATTACATACTAAGGTGATAATATTCGGATATATTAGGTTACATAAACTGTATTATTAAAAATAATTTCATTCTGTATGTGGCTTCTAGAAAATTTAAAAATTACATACATGACTTGTGTTACATCTGTACTGGACAGCCCTTGGTCTACAATATTTTGTGGGAAGTTAAGGAGCCTCTGGACCACTGCTCTTTCCTGTGGGGAGGTGGGGGGCGGAAATCTCTCCGTAGCCTAACGTCTAGTTGCCTTTGCATTTTGGGGTTGTTTTTTACCCCTGTATAAATTAATTTGCATTTGTTACCACTGGATTTTGTTTTAGAAAGCTTTTTTCTACTCAATTCTAATACATCAATATTTTAACTTTTATCACATTTATTTTAATGCAAACCACCCCCACAAAATTAAATACCAACTGATCTCCTCACTGTTGTTCTACCAGATTACTATAGGTCATACTTTCCAACCTTTGGATCCTGTTTTGGAAAGGGATCCTGTAATTTGGCTTTAAACCATTTAAAAATAATCAAGCCATGTTTATGTTGTAGTTGTTTTCCTTACACACCAGATGCAACACCAAAGTTTAGGGCTTTTCCTTACCACCTTAAATTGCTTCATGAAAGGTAATAGGTAGGCACTCTTGCTACCACTTTTCACTTAATGAAACAGATCCATAGAAATTATAAAGTATTTTCATGCCAGAAGACAAGTTCTTACTCCTCAACTCTTACGCTTTGATCTCAGAATATTTACTGCACTAGGAGTAATTCCAAATATGACACTTTAAGCAGATCATATTTTATTATCATAGAAAGGTTTACAAATGTATGTTCTCATGTGCTTTGGACCAGAGTTTTTAACGTTGCACAATGAAAATAGCAAAAGCATAAATCAAATCTTATTAATCTTTGGAAAAAGTGTATAAATATATTAATGCAAAAGCATCTGCAAACTGACCAGTTATACCAACCCCATAAATTATCCAGTTTATAAAATTTTCCAGTCTATAACATTTTCACATGATAGTATCTCTAGTAATTATGTGTCCGAGAAATCAGTGGCAAAATCCCCAAAAGTTACACAAATTTGCTTTAGCTAACATTTATAGATATGGTAGAGGTTTTATATTATAACAATAATATAACATAAAGTTACTATAATTGTTACTATTTCTTTAAAAAACACCAAATAATGATCAAGCTGGGACCTTTGTTTAACAATTAAAAATAGTTTGCTATTTTTAGCCAAGCTTAGGTTTGCTGTACCAATTTACAGGGCATTGCTTACTCTTTTTTTTTTTGAGATGGAGTCTCGTTCTGTCACCAAGCTGGAGTGCAGTGACGCAATCTCGGCTCACTGCAACCTCCGCCTCCCGGGTTCAAGCGATTCTCCTGCCTCAGCCTCCTGAGTAGCCGGGACTACTGGTGTGTGCCACCATGCCTGGCTAATTTTTTGTATGTTTAGTAGAGACGGGGTTTCACCGTTTTAGCCAGGATGGTCTCAATCTCCTGACCTCGTGATCCACCTGCCCTGGCCTCCCAAAGTGCTGGGATTACAGGCGTGAGCCACTGTGCCCGGCCCTGCTTACTACTTTTAACTTTAAAAATCACACTAGTGCCCTAAATTTATGTGACAAAGCCAGGATCCTAGGCTGGGTAGAGATTCTGGTTAAAAAGTTGTTAGACTGATTCTTGCTCTACCTCAGAGGCCTCAGCTTCACGTAATATACCTGTTGACCTCACCTTTTCAGACCTAAAGATATAAGCTAAAATAAACTATTTCTTGAGGTTCTCCATATTTGATGAGAATACGAACATTCATACATGTATCAAATCTTCTGAAACTCCATCTTTCCTTCATTAACTGTTATGGATGGATAAGTGTAAGAGATGAGTTTAACAAATGTGTGATGTATTTACAATTATTTTTTTCAAAAATATATTCATCTAGGTGGCCCATATCCGAGCAGAAAGAGATATTTTGGTAGAAGCAGATGGTGCCTGGGTGGTGAAGATGTTTTACAGTTTTCAGGATAAGAGGAATCTTTATCTAATCATGGAATTTCTCCCTGGAGGTAAAAGCAAACATTGTATCAATGACAGACTGATACAAGCACATCTTTATATGCAACAATAATTTTATTGGTGAGGTTTACTTTTATATTCTTTGCTCTGAGGCTTTACATAGTCACAGTTTAAAAATATTTACTACCATATTGATGCTCATTTTTACCACAAAACAGATTGTTTTGAAGGAATTATAAAGTTAGCACATTTTAAATATTACCGTTCTGGGTTCACTGTATATAATTAGGTTGTTATAAGTTGTGTTAGTTTATTTTATGTTGTTACAAAAAATACCTGAGACTGGATGGGCGCAGTGGCTCACGCCTGTAATCCCAGCACTTTGGGAGGCCGAGGCGGATGGATCACGAGGTCAGGAGATCAAGACCATCCTGGCTAACAAGGTGAAACCCCGTCTCTACTAAAAATAAAAAAAATTAGCTGGGCGCAGTGGCGGGCGCCTGTAGTCCCAGCTACTTGGGAGGCTGAGGCAGGAGAATGGTGTGAACCCGGGAGGCGGAGCTTGCAGTGAGCCGAGATAGCGCCACTGCAGTCCGGCCTGGGCGAAAACAGCGAGACTACGTCTCAAAAAAAAAAAAAAAAAATACCTGAGACTGTGTAATTTATAAAGGAAAGAGGTTTAATCATTGCTCAGCAAAGAGGGCAAGGGGAAAAGAATGGCAATGGAGGGCAAAGAATTCTGGGTTTTGTTTTGTTTTGTTTTAATTTTTATTTTTTGAGATGAAGTCTCGCTCTGTTGCCTAGGCTGGAGTGCAGTGGTGTGATCTTGGCTCACTACAACCTCTGCCTCCCGGGTTCAAGCGATTCTCCTGTCTCAGCCTCCTGAGTAGCTGGGATTACAGGTGCCCACCACCATGCCCAGCTAATTTTTTTTGTATTTAGTAGAGACGGGGTTTCACCATGTTGGTCAGGCTGGTCTCAAACTCCTGACCTCAAGTGATCCACCCACCTCAGCCTCCCAGAGTGTTGGGAATACAGGCGTGAACCACTGCCCCTGGCTCCCTATTTTTTTTAAAGCCTCAAAAAATATATGAAAAAAATGTAATCAGTTGTCAATTCTGTGTTGTAAGTGCACCAGTGTTTACAACAGTTAAAACTGTTAAAACTTTTAAAATTCCTTGAAAATAAAAGAATGTCTGCAGGTGCCTTTTTTAGTGGGATAATGTCCCACTAAACTCTAAAAGAATATATTTCGTTTCCAGGTGCACTTATTCTGATTTTTTTGCAGTTTGACATTTTCCTCAGCAGTTAATTCTAGAAGTTGAGTGGTAGATATTACTTCATTATCAGCTCTTTTGTGATTTGATTTCACATGGTCTCTGCCTTAAAACCATTAAAAGTCATGAAACTTCTGCTATGCAATAGCACTTTTATTTGTCCCAAGATGTGGTTAGAAATATACTGGGTAGATCATAAAATGCAAACTCAGGAAAGCTAGCTGGGCATGGTGGCTCATGCCTGTAATCCCAGTACTTTGGGAGGCCAAGGCAGGCAGATAGCTTGAAACCAGGAGTTTGAGACCAGCCTGGCCAACATGGCAAAACCCCATCTCTACTAAAAATACAAAAATTAGCTGGGTGTGGTGGTGCACACCTGTAATCTCAGCTACTTGGGTGGCTGAGGCATGAAAACTGTTTGAACCCAGGAGGCGGAGGTTGCAGTGAGCCATGATCACACCACTGCACTCCAACCCAGGCAACAGAGTGAGACTCTGTCTCCAAAAAAAAAAAAAAAAAAGTAAAAAAAGCAGGAAAGCTTTTACAAGGTATTCCACCTTTGAGGCATTTTCAATAATAATATATTTGACTATCCTTTATTTAGGTGACATGATGACATTGCTAATGAAGAAAGACACCTTGACAGAAGAGGAAACACAGTTCTACATTTCAGAGACTGTTCTGGCAATAGATGCGATCCACCAGTTGGGTTTCATCCATCGGGATATTAAGCCAGACAACCTTTTATTGGATGCCAAGGCATGTGAATAAACTGGTGAATTACTAGGCTGTTGATTATTTTTTAGAGCAGTAGGGCTGATTTTGTGAATGGAAATCAGCAACTGCAATTTAGAATATTGCTAAACAACATTATATGATAAGGTACTAGGAGAGGACTTGGGAATTAAATGACAACAGGGAATATGGCTCTCTTTTTATCTCCCTCCATTTTCTACTTTTAAAAATCATCATCAGATACTTAAAATTTTACATTTTACGTGTATAAATCCCAAGCTAAGAATTTTTATTATAATTGCCATTTAATAGAGGAGTTTATAACAAGGCTTTTTGTTTTCAAAGTTAATATGATCTAATTTTACTGGATTTTTTTTTAGGGTCATGTAAAATTATCTGATTTTGGTTTATGTACGGGATTAAAGAAAGCTCACAGGACTGAATTTTATAGAAATCTCACACACAACCCACCAAGTGACTTCTGTAAGTTTGGTTGTTGTTTTTCTTCTTTCCCCTGGTTAAGATACTGTAGAGAACAGAAGGTTCTTTCCCTTTCCCCACTCCTTAATCCACTGTGTTTTAGATGTATATGTATTTTCTTTTTGTGGAGAGCATTTTTCCCTCGTGATTACAATTCCATATTGTTGAAATTAGCATTTCAGAACATGAACTCAAAGAGGAAAGCAGAAACTTGGAAGAAGAACAGGAGACAACTGGTGAGTCAACCAGTTTTTAAGAGAATTTTATGCCTTGGTTCTAAAATCTTACCTGGTTTTAACTTGATTATTTTTATCTTTATAATAATTAGTATTTACTTCATAACAATGGTAGCGCTTGCTCTGGGATCACACAGTTTTCTTAGTTTCTCTGTTAAGTTTCCTTGCCTGTAAAGCAAAGTGTTGGTTTTTACTTTGTAACTTTAGAGTAGTTTACTGAGCATACCTACAAGTAAGCTGTTTACTAGTAATTAGCACTTTAAATAAAACTCACTGAGGTGAATGCAATTGTAATGAATGCCTTGTGATTTCCATTTTTCCATTTTTCATAACTGTGTTACAAATCCTGATACAACAAATATCAATCAGCAAGTAAGGTGGTTGTGAGTTTCTAAAAACTTCTTTATAGACAAAGTAAACAGGAAGTTTGGGATGTAAACAGTGTTACAATAAAACAGATAAAATTTGAAAAAGCTGGCTTTGCCACAGATAAATTTAATTACTCCTTTAATATAGAATTACATTATTTTTAACCCCATACTATTTCCTTTCTATAACTGAGCAAATAGAAGAATTGCTTCCCCTTTCTCCTCTTTCCCTTTGTCCTGTTAACATGGTCCATCAACAGTCTACAGGTTAAGAATGTGCCTTAGGATTTTCTTTTTCTCATTTCTTATAAAATGCCTGGCACATACGGACACTCTATAAATACTTGTTCAACCAAATGATGAAAGGAAAACTAATTCAGCATTCCCTCAGGAAAGTAAACAGACTGAAAAATAATAGGCTAATACCCTCTAAAACCAAATAAAATGACCTTTGCATTATTGAGCTTATTATCTCATTAACCTAAGTAACTGCAAAAACTTGTAAAACATTTCAGTATTTTTAAATGTATTGAGTTACACATTAAGGAGAAAAACTTTGTTCTACTTTTAAAATGTGTCCATTTTAGATCAGGTTTTGCAATTGAGAATAATTGCAATATTCCCTATTTTTAAAGGGGAAAAACTGAATACTGCTCAAAATTATGGTGGGGGAATTCTGTACCCCCCTATTTACAAAATATTCATGGGTGATTACTCAGGTGTGTGTTTTATTATTCTCATGGCCAGTAGTTGCCAAGCCTTAGATCGAGTGTTTCCCAAGGGAGAAGTAGAGAGGACTCAGTGTTTGGGGCAGGAAATTTCTTTAGCACCTGGATCCCCTGCCCTGTAAATGCCAGTTATGTCACTGAGATGACAAAATCTGTGGTCCTACATTTTGCCATGGCCCCAAGAGTACTACCCCTGGTTGAGAATTACTGCCTTGTAGAAATCATTTTTGTAAGATTTTATATGAATTAAGAATTAAAAACTGCATAGCTTCCTAAAGGATAAGCAGTACCCTGGAATTACATTTATAATGAAAATACCTCATGCTTATTTTTGTAGTTTGTAGTTTACAAAACACATGCCGTTTATTGTTTCATCTTCATATCAACTCTATTAGGGCAGGTATTATTATTCTAGTTTTATGTAAGCAGAAGCTGAGCCTCAGAGAAATTGAATAATTTGCCCAAGAACACATTAGTAGTGAGTGGGGAAGCCAGGTCTTCTAGGTTCAACTTTTTCATTCTTTTTGAAATAGACTGAAGGCTATATATATAAATAACTTAACTGAGCTTCTTGTGGGGGCAGAAATGATATATTCTTATAAAATGCCTGGCACATATGGACACTCTATAAATATTTGTTCAACTAAGTGATGAAAGGAAAACTAATTCAGCATTCCCTCAGGAAAGTAAATAGACTGAAAAATAGTAGTCTATAACATATTATCTGACTCACTACCTACCACTAAGCCTTGCACATGATAAACATGCAAAATAAATACAAGTGAAAATTTAACTCCTCTATATATTGCTTTTTCCAGTAGTAAGCCATCCTCAGATAGATATTTTTTAAATGTTAAGAATGCTGGTTTGACGAGTTGCTCCTTTGTAGGCATATTCCACAGTTGGGACACCAGATTACATTGCTCCAGAAGTATTCATGCAGACTGGTTACAACAAATTGTGTGACTGGTGGTCTTTGGGAGTGATTATGTATGAAATGCTAATAGGTATGTTTTATCATTCATTTATGTACAAAATATATACATTTCCTTGAGTGCCATTGTTTGAACATATTACAGATATCATTGACTAAAATATTTGAAGTCTTTTAAGCTTAATTCTGATGTTCCCCCAATGTTAAATACATACTGATCAATACCAGTGAGCTCCCCACGGATCCTGTTTCAGGAAGGTGGGTATTTAACCCAAACTCCCACGTATAAAAGTGGTTATCTACATAGCTTTTCAGGTAAAAGGGGAGGCAGTGCTTTCAATCCTTTATTTTATTGACTTTATTAGCAACGTGATTGTAAATTGATGAATGGTGGCATTTTTGACTGTTAAATAGAGCACTCAGGGTTGTTTGGTTTCTTGTCGCACATGTTTGGTGGGTATAAACTTCACTGCTCACAAAGCTGATGAAACATTTTTGATTTATTTGATACATAGGATATCCACCTTTCTGCTCTGAAACACCTCAAGAAACGTACAGAAAAGTGATGAACTGGAAAGAAACTCTGGTATTTCCTCCAGAGGTACCTATATCTGAGAAAGCCAAGGACTTAATTCTCAGGTTAGTGGTTAAATTCCTAGAGGAGTTCATAGTGTCTTAAAACTTCCTAAGAACCTAAAAGACTCATTTCACTTTTGTGGGGGAAGAGGGGATACCACTGATGTATACAGTCAAAGAGATCAATAAAGGTGTTTTTAAAAATGTAAACTCTTAAAAGGAAGTATGCAGAAAAAAACGTAGGAATTAAAAAGAGGGAGGAAGTCTTGTATTGCTTCTGTTACTGATATATATAAAAGCAAAAGGTCACTTCTGTTAGAATGCAATGACCTGATTCCATTAAAGAGAAAAAGGAAAATGTTAATAGCAGATTCCTGTCATGAAAAGTATATATGTAAAATCTTCTAAGCAAAAAATTCCATGTGTTCCTCAACTAATATGAAGTGTTTTGGTACTGCTGTGAATGGCTGGAAGGAATATAAATTGGGACAACTTGTGGGAATAGCCAGTTGGCAGCATATTATTTTTTTAAAATCCCTAAACTATGTATGACCTTTGACCCAGAAGTTCTACTTCTAGGGATTTCGCTTATGCAGATAATCAGATACGTATAAAGATTTAGGTACACTATGATTTTCATGGTATTTAATAGTGAAAATTGAAAACTATTTAAATGTTCAACAGTAGTGGACTGGCTCAATAGTAGACTGTCTATAATACCTCTATATGTAAATTTTAGAAAACAAATTTATTGGCTGGGCACAGCAGCTCATGCCTGGAATCCCAACACTCTGGGAGGCCGAGTTGGGCAGATCACAAGGTCAGGAAATCAAAACCATCCTGGCTAACATGGTGAAACCCCGTCTCTACTAAAAATACAAAAAATTAGCCGGGCGAGGTGGCGGGCGCCTGTAGTCCCAGCTACTTGGGAGGCTGAGGCAGGAGAATGACATGAACCCGGGAGGTGGAGCTTGCAGTGAGCTGAGATCACGCCACTGCACTCCAGCCTGTGTGACAGAGCGAGACTCCGTCTCACAAACAAACGAAAAAAAAATTTATTGAAAAATATTTAATGACTTTGGCAAATTTTCTCAGTATATCAAGTGAAAAAAAGCAGACCTAACATAGTAACTATGGTAGCAACACAGTATTTTTAATATTGTAAAAGATTAGCATATTTACAGTAGTTATCTCTAAACAGTGCGCTTACAGATGATTTTTATTTTCTTCCACATTTCCTACAATAAACATAGTTAACATCAATAAAAGAAAAACATTATATTTCTTTAAAAAAGAAATATTTGAAGTAATGCAGCTAGAATACTTTAGATGTAACTTGTGTATGATAATTTCTCTGTTTCCATGTTGTAGATTTTGTATTGATTCTGAAAACAGAATTGGAAATAGTGGAGTAGAAGAAATAAAAGGTCATCCCTTTTTTGAAGGTGTCGACTGGGAGCACATAAGGTATGTTCCTAGGCTTTGAATGGGAAAGGTCTGAGTAAAAACAAATTTCTAGAGTTGGCAATTAATTTACCTCTGATTCTGCTAGATTAAATACAAAAGTAACATATAATGTCATTAAGTGCAGTGTTTTCTGGATTATGTAAGTGAGTGGGACTATTGTGGCTACAGCTTGATGACTCATTTTAGGCTAACATCCACTTTCAGGGAAGAACATTGGGAAGCTGTTTAAATTCTTATATTCATATTCACAGTGAAGGCTGTTAGCACATGAAACATGTATTTACATTTCACACAGTGACCCCTCATTTTTGTCCTTGCTGTAATATACCACATACTGTCTCCTTAATTAATTTATAATAAGGTACAGTCCCTCTTTAAACGGTGGTTGGGCATTAAATAATACAAGTAACTTTTAAGAATTTGCTTACAGTTGTTAATTGTGAGCATTGGCTTTTTTCAGTTTATGGCCAAACTACCATTGGTAGTTCTGATCTGTTCTCCACACAGCAACAGTTTAGAAGCATAAATCTGGCCATGCCACTTTCCTGTGGCCTTTTGCACTTGGAATACAGTTAAGAAGCCTTCACTGCTTTCTTAGGACTGCAGGATATGGCGATTGCCTCATCTGCAGGAGTTGCGTCTTGGATGGCCTCTCCTACTCCTCTTCCCACCTCTAAGTTTTGCTATTTGCTATCCATCCTGACTGAAATGCCCTCTCCCTGCTGCCTCTACCCCTACCCTGCCTAGCTGGCTCCTTTGCATCTTCCAAGATAGCTTATGTGTCATTTCCTTGGTACAGCTCTTCACTGGTGAACCTGCTGTGTGCTAGGCACTCTGCCTATTATTATTACTTATTTTTTTGAGACAGGGTCTCACTCTGTCGCCCAGGCTGGAGTGCTGTGGCATGATCATGGCTCACCGCAGCCTCGACCTCCAGGCCTCAAATGATCCCCCCACCTCATCCCCGCAAGTAGCTGGAACTATAGGCATGTGCCACCACACCCAGCTAATTTTGTTGATTTTTTTTTTTTTTTTTTTTTTGTAGAGATGGGGTTTCACCATGTTGCCCAATTGCCCAGGCTGGTCTTGAACTCCTGAGCTCAAGCGATCCACCTGCCTCGGCCTCCCAAAGTGCTGGGATTACAGGCGCCTAGCCCACTCTGCCTGTTGTAATAATAGCTAATTTTTAAAAATCATTTATTGTGTCCAGCACTGTTTTAAGTACTTTACTTGCGTTTCTCATCTTATCCTCATATAAGCTCTATAAAATAGGAACTGTTATTATCCCTGTCTTACAAGTGAGGAAACTAAGGCACAGAGAAGTTAAGTAATGTGACTATAGTGCTGCAGCTAGTAATTTTTTTTTTTTTTTTTTTGAGATGGAGTCTCACTCTGTCGCCCAGGCTGGAGTGCAGTGGCGTGATCTCGGCTCACTGCAAGCTCCACCTCCCGGGTTCACGCCATTCTCCTGGTGGAGGCCTAACTCTTAACCACTATGCTGTATAATACTATACACACATAACTTAATTGAATAGAACTAGAATACCCTCCCTTTTACAGTGGGAAGGATGCTTAGAGACTGCCAGTTCTTTTGGTTTTATAATGAGGGAACAGTCATGGAGCAGGGATTTGGCTGCCTAAGGTCATACTGCTAGTTAATAACAAGGAAGGTTAGCTCTCAGGCCTCCAGGGTTCTTTCCTCTAAACTAGGTTTATTAAAGTAGTATACTAAGTATAAATGAGTTGGAATAATTCTGGTAAAAAATATATATGGTTTTAAATAATTTGGTAAACTTAGCACCTAATAAATCCAATAAATATTTGTTGAAAAAACAGAAGCAATAAAAACTGATAGCTTCTTTTAACCATTTGTATAGCTAAACTTTTTAGCATGATAAGAAGGCATTTTCATGACTGGTTTCTTTTTAACTGAGTATCTTTGATTCTCTTAAAATTTGTATGACAGAAGTTTTTGCATGCAGATTTCATCACAAATATATAGTCCCTTCACCTATGTGCCCCTTATTTTCCCAAATGACTTTTAATTTATGGATTGTCTACTAGTAGAATTCTATTCCTAAATCAATTAAGAAGGATCCTGTCCTCATAATATCTCAAATACTTTATACAATTATACAATCTTTTAAATAAAACCTCTTCTTTTACTTTTCATTAGCTCATTTTTCCACTTAAAAAAATAGGATGAGAAAGCCTTGGGTACAGAGATATAAAAATGGCAAGTAGGTGGAGATGCTTAATGGATACAAAAAAAATAGAATGAATAAGACCTATTACTTGATAGCACAAGAGGGTGACTATAGTCAATAATAATTGTACATTTTAAAATAACTTAGAATGTAATTGGATTGTAACTCAAAGGATAAATGCTTGAGGGAATGGACACCCCATTCTGCACGATGTGCTTATTACCCATTTCATGCCAGTATTAAAACCTCTCATGGACCCTATAAATATATATACCTACCACATAACCCCAAAAATTAAAAAAATATTTAAAATTCTAAGTAAATGAAAACATTTTAATAAAAAATTATACTCAACTATTTTGAACTCCCTTTAACTAATCTCAAATCCACAATAAATTTCCTTGGATTTTCTAGTATCTGTAGAATAGTATGCAGAATTTACAAGTAGAATTATTTGTTGGAAATTGAGAGTTCAAGAAAAGTTACCATGCATACTTAATACCTTTTTATAGGGAAAGGCCAGCAGCAATCCCTATAGAAATCAAAAGCATTGATGATACTTCAAATTTTGATGACTTCCCTGAATCTGATATTTTACAACCAGGTAAGACAATCTGTAATGTAACTAACCCTATTAAAAGTCTTTGAAGATGATGGCATTTCACTAATGAAATTCCTTTATTTTTTCTCTTTCTAGTGCCAAATACCACAGAACCGGACTACAAATCCAAAGACTGGGTTTTTCTCAATTATACCTATAAAAGGTTTGAAGGGTTGACTCAACGTGGCTCTATCCCCACCTACATGAAAGCTGGGAAGTTATGAATGAAGATAACATTCACCCATAACCAAGAGAACTCAGGTAGCTGCATCACCAGGCTTGCTTGGCGTAGATAACAATACACTGAAATACTCCTGAAGATGGTGGTGCTTATTGACTACAAGAGGAAATTCTACAGGATTAGGATTTCTAAGACTACTATAGGAATTGGTTGGCAGTGCCAGCTGGCTCTTTTTTTTAATATTTTATTATTTTTGTTAACTTTATTATATGAAGGTACTGGAATAAAAGGAACAGACATCCCTTTCTAACTGCACTGCCTACATGCGTATTAAGGTCCATTCTGCCTGTGTGTGCTGTGGCTTTGAACTGTAACACCTCTAATCAATTCAGGAGAAACACATATCATTTAAAGCAACATAGGCTAACCTGTAGGTAACACTGCAGTATTGATGTTTTACTGCAAATCTTATGGGTCTAGATAATCAGTAAAAGCCATCTTCCATAGTTGGTGTTAGAACATTGCCCTATTGGTTTGGACATCTGTAGAATATATATGAAGACAATTTCTGTAATGGTTTTAAGAGATTTAAAAAGAAATTCACTGGTTCTTTACAAAATAGAATTTATCATCAAGTTATTACACAAACTTCACAGTAAGGAGTGACAAGTTTATAATAAGGAAGACAAAGTTTAACACCTTCACTCAAGCACTCCACTAATATATTTACGTTGCATTCAGAAATACTGATGACCTTCATATACGTAGTCTGTATACTCATAGGGAGATGTACTGTATTATATAACATGTAAAGTTGATTTTCTTGTGACAAGAGAACTTCTTTTTTTAACAAGAGGACATGGCATTATTTTAATTTGATTATGGTGAGTTGAATTTAAGACATGACCATGAAGGCTGCTTGTAGAATTAGTGTATTTTTATTAAACTATTTTTTTAAATGTCAAACTTCTATCATGTAAATGGACTTATAGAGAACAAAAAGCTATTTACTTTGGTTTTCTAGAAAGTTGTTACATATCATGGCTGGTTAACTTTTATTTCTTTTGATGAAAATTTTTCCTTTGATAGTACTTGTATTATTGTGCCATTATTTTCTTATGCTCCAAATGTACCAAAGATCTTGAACAGAGTGGATGTTCACAACTGAGTAGAATTTTCCTTTCCTGTGGGCATGCTGTATTCAGACCTGACAGATCTTTGATAGAGGTCAGCTTATTAAAGGGCAATATTGTTCTTGTTTAGCTACATCACTGTGGTGAATATAGATGGAATTAAGGAAGTAAATGCAGGCCAGGGGGTTGTGATGAGAGGATAGGGGAGATAATATCAGCATCAAATTCTTTGGGTATCTCTCTAAGAATTAAATAATCTTTTCTAGCTTAATATTTTAATTCTAATTCAAACAACTCTGAGGTTTTGGTTTCATTAGTAATAGTTGAGGAATAATATACTAGCAAAGAATGGCCTAATGTTTGTCATAACTGTTAATGGATGAAATTTTTTAAAGATACAACCATGATAACCATTATAAATGATCTATGATCAAAATCTAAAGTGATGAATTATTTGTAGGAATGTCTTCCTAATGGGGAAGAATTGCATAGGAGCATTATGCAAATCTACACAAGCTTTTATAAATGTTGCTGCTGGGTAGCTCCACAGTGTTTCATAAGGCCATCCTGTTTCCCCCAACTCCCCCATTTTTGGTTTGTTTCTTTTTAAATATTTGTTGAGTACTTACGTGTTTATCTAACAGTTCACTTCCATTTTTCTAGTCTGGATTTTTTGAGTATTTAGGAAAGAGAGCTATTAAAAACTGGGGATTTCTCAATGTGACTAACTCTAATTTTTCTAATTATAACTGCCTTTAATTAACATAATATTAACTTTTGCTGAGGTTTATGAGATTTTCTCACCCCACATCGCTCCCCTTTTTTTAAAAAGGACTGTTTTGCTAGTGTGATAATGAATAGGTAAGATATGAGATAATTGCAACATTGTCTAGTTCTAGTATGGTAACTATTCTTGAAATGGTATTGAAAAATACCGTTAATTCAAATTGACAGAGATTGATAAAAAGAAACTGATTTACCTAAGTTTACTTTTTAATTGCATAATAGAGCATTTTTTGTTTTGAGTTCCCTCATTCTTATTACCAGAAAGAGCTTGCAAATAGTTTTACTTTCTTGGCACTGGAAGGGTAGTTCTGGAAAGCTACTTTGTTGAGAGTCTCATTCTTCCCTGGAGTTAATAGAGTGATTCACAATCTTTGGGGTTTTCTCCTCATCAAAAGCATTTCTTAAGTGCCTATCTAAAAGCAATTAAAGACTGTGTCTGCCCTTTAGAAGCTAAGAATTTGATTCATGATGCAAATTAACTAGATAATTTGCAAAGTACCCTTGAGATTGAATTTTCTCTATTATATATTTCCCATATTTCAGGTGAATAATTTAATTTAAATGACAAAACCCTATCTAGTCAACTGGGCATAATGACATTTTCTTTAAATTAGACTCTATTTTGAATTAAAAGAGTTTTATTATAAACCGTGTGTTTTTGGTTTTTCTAAGTATATAGAAAGCTTGTATAATTCAGATTTATCAATTTCCTGATTTAATGTAGACTTTGACTTTTTTATTAAAAACCTTTGTATTAAAGCAAGTTATGTTATTTTTCTTTTATGCATTTATTACTAACATAGCTTTAAATCTTTAAATGTATTGAAGCATTGTGCTGTCTGAAAATAAGGAATTGCTTATAAACCAGCCACTTCTGAATACAATATGTAGCTGATTTAATAAGCTAGTTAGTGAATGGAAAATAAGTGTGGAGTATTAAAAATGTTCTTTGGTTGGTAAGGCCTAAGATAGGGTTTCATTTATTTCTATACTTTTTCTGTTTTTTAAACACCTGCATATTTTTATGTAAATCTCTAAATTTAAAATATTTTAAGTACATTTATTTTTGGTGTTTTATTGTATAAAACCTTAGACAATCAATCAGTCAGTCTTTACTGACAGGAGCAGCAGCTATCTGTCTTTTGCTGATCTACAAATAAATGAATTGAGAATTTAGTCCATAGAGGTCCCTGGCTACCAAACACATTCTCCTTTGAATTGTTAAAATTCAGAACATTCAAAATAACTGTTTTGCTACAACCCATGATTATTTTCCTGTTGTGTTTATTTAAATTTACTTTCTCTTTAGAAGTGCACTTATTTCTGAAAAATCTTAATGAAACAAACGCTTAGAACAAATATAAATATGAGACACTTGGGACTACTAGAGATATTTTAGATTTTTATGAAAAAAATGTGAGGGGATATTGCTGCTTTAAAAAGGAATAAAGTAATAAAAATATATCTCAGCTATTTTTTTAAAGCAATATAATTCAGCAATTGTCTAGAAAAGTAATCATGAGGCTACTGAGTTTGGTGTTCAGTTACTGAGTTTCAAAAATGTTTTGGTGGCATGAGGACAAAATTTCATTGAAGGTAAGATAAGAATAAAAACTATGTTTACAAAATTTCTGTTGATGAAGTTTTTTGGTTTTATTTTTGAGTTTTGAGATAGGTGTTACCCAAAACTCAAGAAAGACTATTTAGTTAATGTAAATTACTGTCTAACTTTTACACTTGAAGATCACATCAAGAACAAAATATTTGAAGTTTGTATTTAAAATCTCCATTCAAATCTGTAGCTAAAAACATATAGGCTACACGAACTGTGCTGTACTTTCAGGTACTTATTGGATGCATAGCTTATATACAACTATCCAACTTGGTCAAAACCAATTAGCAAGCACTAAATTGAAAATGCCTCAAAATAGCATAGGAATATGTGGCCCAGGTACCACTACCTCCCGTGCTGTGGAAGACACTGACAATCATCATGACTTTTTCCACTGAGCCTTGAGGAAGCCCGTGGGAATCCCATTCAGCCTCATTGTTCTCCAGCTGTTCCCTGACATACATCATTTCAATAATGCCACTGTCAGACACAACATTGAAAACACTGAATGTTAAAATTTGGGCATTACAGCAAACTCGGAGACTCTAAATTCATCTTTCAAAAACATCTAGTGATACAAAGAACTTATATTTGTACACAAAATGCCTTCACTTGTTTTTTACAACTACTCTGTAATTACATAATTACCATCATTTTATAGATGACCATGAGGCTGAGTGATTGTGACTTGCCTAAAACACAAGTAATAAGTTGCCCTTGAACCCAAGTCCAGTGTTCCCTACTCCTCCAAATCATAGAGTGAACTCCATTGACAAATTAACTTCATTGACAACTCATATGCTTCTAGGATCTCAGGAGTATACATGGAGTGATAGGGCCAGAGTTATTACTTTGCATACTTTTGACCACAAGTGACAGAAAACACAAGTAAAAATGGCTTCAATGATAAGGAAAGCGAGTATCTTATGTAACAATAAGACACAAGATAGCTTCCAGAGTAGTCATTTTAGCATCTCACAAACATCAAGGAATCCAAGAGCATGCACCTGTAGTCCCAGCTACTCAGGAGGCTGAGGCAGGAGGATCCCTTGAAGCCAGCCTGGGCAACCATAGCAAGACCCTGTTTTCCATTTCTCTACTTTGTCATGACAAGGGTGTTGGCTTTGTCCTTGGTCTTGTTTTCTCAGAGAAGCTAGATGACTACAGAGACTCTAAGCATCAAATCCTCACACAACAGGTAAGGCCTTAAAAAGAGAAATACTTCTGCATTTCCACTTTTTTTTTTTTTCTTTAAAAGAAAAAACAACAGAGTCTCACTCTGCGGCCCAGGCCGGAGTGCAATGGCGCGATCTCGGCTCACTGCAACCTTCGCCTCCTGGGTTCAAGCGATTCTCCTGCCTCAGCCTCCCAAGTAGCTGGGACTACAGGTGTGCGCCATCACGCCCAGCTAATTTTAGTTTTGTTTTTTTTTTTTTAATTTTTTTTTTTTTAGTAGAGACAGGGTTTCACCATGTTGGCCAGGCTGGTCTCAAACTCCTGACTCCAGGTGATCTGCCCACCTCGGCCTCCCAAAATGCTGGGATTATAGGCATGAGCCACCATGCCCGGCCTTGCATCTCCACTTTTTAAGAGCAAAGAAAATCTTTTCCAGAAGCATTCTAAGCAAAGTAACCCTCACATCTTATTGTCCATGACTGTGCCATCCATGTAGTCCTAAACCAGTACCTGATGGGCAATTGATTTAAAACTAATCAAGCATCACGTCCCTTCTACTGGGATGAGACTAACCTAAAGAACATGGCCACATGATACCAGAACCAAATTAGGGTGCTTTCGACAAACTACAAGGTAATCAAGATGATGCCACACAGGTTTATTGCAATGATTCTTACCTGAAGCCACGGCACCTAGATTGTGGTGTTGGATCTGCTGCCTACATCGGAACTGAAGGTTGGTCCATTAACATTTTTCACAGAACAGGATTGGGTCTCTGGACATCATACAGGAAGATGGACATCATACAAACAGGCCTTGGTCTTTTTAGTGCTTTTTCCATTCCTCCCAGATCCTATTCATCAGAGTAGATAATCTATTGGTCCATCTCCTCTAGAGCTCATATCAGAAATGGGGACCCTGATCAACTTATTTCCTCCCAAGATCCAGCCAAGGGTGGGGTGGTCTAATTACTATTAGCTCAATTGCTTTGTCAAAATTGGGAAGATGATCTCTGACTAATGAAAATTAAACATTTCTCAGGTGAGATTGCTAAACTACCATCAAGTTATCTGAATTACTTTACCTCTTAACATTCATGATCAAACTCCTAAACACAGGAAGACTTGTAAGTCTCTTCAAAAGGGAGAAACTCATGGTAGGAAAAGTAAACTGTCAATACTCAGCCTAATATCTTTTTTTTTTTTTTTTGAGACGGAGTCTCACTCTGTCGCCCAGGCTGGAGTGCAATGGCGTGGTCTTGGCTCACTGCTACCTCCACCTCCCAGGTTTAAGCAATTCTGCCTTGGCCTCCCGACTAGCTGTGATTAGGTTCCTGCCACCGTGCCTGGCTAATTTTTGTATCTTTAGTAGAGACGGGGCTTCACCATGTTGGCCAGGCTGGTCTCAAACTCCTGACCTCAGTGATGTGCTCGCTTGGCCTCCCAAAGTGCTGGGATTGCAGGCATGAGCCACCGCATCCAGCCTTTTTGTCTTCTTGGGTAAAAAAATCAGGAACAGAACTTGGAGAACCCTCTTGTATGATTGTATATAATACCGAGAGGACTGAGGAAGACTTGGGATACCATAACTGCTTTAAGAGTGTTTAAAAACTGTAAAAGTAAACATCAGTTGAGTTATTGATGCTTATACACACATACAAACGCATAATCCCTAAGGGAAAAAGTGTAAGCAACTCCACATAAAAGTAGATGTGTGCACAACTATTCCCTCATTCTTGTCCTAAGTTTTGTCCTTCCTTGCAGTTTGCTCAGAATTTTAGTATATTGCTATTCCTGTCCCTAAGAAATACTGCTTCTCTCCCCGCTGCTTCCCCGGTGTACATACCATACTGCAACAACCCAGCTTAAGAAAATTGATTTTTGATAAGTTAAAGCAGTATTTCCTAGATGAGAGTACTCAGAGCAACTTTCAAAATCAGCTAGGAAGCACATTTGAAATAAGGACTTAGTGTGATTCACCCCAAACCTACTAAATCAGTCTCTGGGGGTGGGTCTAAAATTGTGCACATTCTCATGTACATTGAATTTTGGGAACCACTGAGCTAACAGAAAAAGAAACTAATACCTGCTCATTGGTTTTTGTGAGAATATATATATATAAAGTAACTGATGCACAGTAGGTAAAATACAGAAGTCAGTGCTTACAACAGTGCCTGGCACACAGCAGGTGCTCAATAAATACATGTGAACAAGTTAATTAAATGACTATTTTTGTGGGTGGCCCTGCTTTCCACCTAAGGCCAATCTCAAAATGTTTTCACTTTTAATAAAAACATAAATACGACTCCAAAAGCATTGAGAAAATGAATGCAGCTTTTGCTGAAGTTGTTATTTTCCAGGGAAATAATGTAAGAGGGTTTGCATTACACAATGAAGTTCCCTAAATACCGCTTTAAGATATCTCAAATTTCCTGGCTAGGTGCAGTGGCTCACGCCTGTAATCCCAGCACTTTGGGAGGCTAAGGCAGGCAGATCACATGAGGTCATGAGTTCGAGACCAGCCTGACCAACATGGTGAAACCCCGTCTCTACTGAAAATACAAAAAATTTAGCTGTGTGTGGTGGCACATGCCAGTAATCATAGCTACTCAGGAGGCTGAGGCATGAGAATCGCTTGAACCCAGGGAGGCAGAGTTGCAGTGAGCCGAAATCACACTACACTCCAGCCTGGGCGATAGAGCGAGACTCTATGTAAAAAAAAAATTAAAATTAAAAAAAGATAGCAAATTTCCTCTCCTTAAGGCAGCTGCACCACCTCCTTTACCACCCTCTCTGTCTCAGGAATGCTCTGTCCTCCAATTACCTCTCTGCTTTTCCTTCCCTTAGACCATGCTCAAGCTCATCTTTCCTATACCAGAAGCCCACCATAGATCCTCTTCTCTCTCTAAACATATGGGAGAGTGTTGGCCTACTTGTTTCTCCAAACTGCACTCATCAATCTGCCCAGCAAATCCAAGCATCTTCCCCAGGATTCACCCTCCACAGGATGCTGGGGGCAGGGTAGGAAGAAAAGGTAGTTTTAAACATTAATAATTTATTTTCCCCAGTCACTTAGGAAATCAATAATGGGTAGTTGCTATTTATTTATTTATTTATTTGAGATGGAGTCTTGCTCTGTCACCCAGGCTGGAGTGCAGTGGCGTGATCTCAGCTCATTGCAACCTCCCCCTCCTGGGTTCAAGCAATTCTCCTGCCTCAGCCTCCCGAGTAGCTGGGATTACAGGTGCCCGCCACCACACCCAGCTAATTTTTTGTATATTTAGTAGAGACGGGGTTTCACCGTGTGAGCTAGGACGGTCTGCACATCCTGACCTCGTGATCCGCCTGCCGTGGCCTCCCAAAGTGCTGAGATTACAGGCGTGAGCCACCATGCCCGGCCTATGTAATGTTTTTTTTTTATTTACCATCTTTACCATTTTAAGTGTACAGTTCCCAATGGTAATAAATATATGTTCAGCCTTCTTTTCCCCTTGTTGTTTTCCACCCCCTCTTCTCTCCCCTTCCTGGCTTCTGTGTTATTTATTGTTATGCATCATTGGAAATAGTATCTTCAATTTAATTACACTCTGAAGCAGGTGTGGTTTTTTGTTGTTTTGGGTTTGGGTTCTATCTTGTTGTTTTTTGTTGTTGTTGTTGTTGTTGTTGTTGTTCTTGGACCAAATACAATATCTAAGTGGCTTTAGGGACTCCTCTCTAATCTAAGTTATATTGTTACAATCCCAGCAGAATGCTAAAAGGACAGGAGTTTACAGCTTGTGAGGCCGTGGTTCCTAATTCCAGATGGACAAAGGAGTATTTGTTCCACCTTTAAAATATTTGTTCTTGCCTGAGTACTTAGCAATGAAAGAAAATTAATGAACAAATTAAGTGAAAGGCAAGCAATGATTCCTGGAGAGCAAGGCAGCTCCAGGGCTTTTGGCAGGGGAACCATGCTGACCAGAAGGAACTGTGTGCATTCTATTACACAAATTCTCTAGCATTCTATTATACAAATCATCCAATCACCTTTCTCACATTTTTTTTTCCAAGTTGAAAATATGAGAAAACCACTCACTGGAAATGAGAGATTACCTTCCTATCCATCTGGCAAGACATTATATGTCTCTCTGCCTTATCCTATGGGTTATATAGCTACTCTTTAAAAAACAAAAAAATCATGTCTTAGAAAGTAAAGCTCCAGAGCATAAAGAAAAAAAGAGAGCAAGCAGGCTTTAAACCTGAGCAGTAAGGGGAATACCTATTAAGCAATGAAAGGGTTGTGCCCCATGGAATGCTGTAGGTCGGCTTTGTTTGTGCATTATTACCCTTCCTGCTTTCGTATTTTAGATTCTGGATTCCCCTTCTCTTGCTTTCAGGCTTTGGTGGAAGTGAATCATCGTTTCTAAGAAACGGGGACTGCAATGATTCACAGGCAAGCTTACTGGACACCACAATAGGAACTCCTAAGAAGGAGACCTAACTTTTATGGTCTTGCTTCTACTATCTACTAGCTGAGTGATCCTGGCCAAAATACTCGACATCTCTGAACTTCTGTTTCTCTACTAAGACAGGAATTAAGAAAGAGGTTGTGAGGCTCACTGAGCCGATAAGGGGGAAAATGCATTGTAAGCAAGGCCATGTATAGAATAGTATTTACATTTTAACCCAGATCTTAAAGCCCAGGTCTAATTAATTCTACCTGTTACCCCTTGGTAAACCACCTCAAAATAGTGTACACTTGTCTGGAAAGCCAAGGTTTGATCACATTCGGGAAACCCTGTATGGAATTACTGTTTCTAGCTGCCAGGAGAAGTTGGTGTTGGTAGAATTTGGGGTGGAGTTCCAAGTCAAAGCTAGGAATGAGACGTTTCAAGACTGGTTTTGATTAGGGATGTGTCTTGGTGTGTGTTGAGGACAGCACAGTTTTCAGCACGTCTCCCTTACCTCTAAAGTCCTAGCCCCTGCTTAAGCCTGCAACAGTTTTCTCCTGTCATGCCCACTTCTGCTTGGGAACACACTTCCAAACCCTCTGCCCAGCCTCTCACAATGGCCCTAAGTACTGCCCTGAGGACACATAAGGTGCTGGTTAAGACGTTGGAATTGAGTCCTTGTAGGAAAGTTATTACCTTTAGGCTGGTTGCAAAGTTTGATTTGGTGTCTTCTCTACTGTGACTTTCCTTTACTTACTTCTACTAGATTACCAAGGAATGGGTCTAGGGACCAGTGGGAGGGCAGCAAACCAGTGTATTCTAGACACGTGGCCATAGGATGTAGGGCTGTCAAGTGATGCCCAAAAGATCTTGTTTCTGGATTTACCCAACCGTTCCAGGAGGCAAAACGGCTTCCTCGGGACCCTCTCTCTGTCATCTACACTCTCGTCTCTGCAGCTAAGCCCTTCCTTAAGCAGAAAAGAGCAGGGTCTCTCGTCCAGCACCCTCCTCCCCAACCCTAGCCCCGTGCCCTCCGCTAACCCACCGTGCAATTATCTTCATTCATCCTTTACCTTTGCCCCGAGGGTCTAACAACTGCAATCTTCGGAATGCTGGGACAAAGCTTACTATGAGCATGGAAGCCTGTTTTCAATAGGGTGGTTGCTAGAAGGACTCAACTGGCCTTTTAGTGCTTTGCTGCTCGCGGGAGGGCTCGGCGGGGCGGTGTCCGCAGCGACTCCGCCCTTGGCCCGGGTCTCTTTCCCGCCGGGAAGCCCCGCGGCGCCCAGAGCGGCGGGCGGCTGGCTCCAGTCCGCATGCTCAGTAGCTGCTGCCGGCCGGGCTGCGGGGCGGCGTCCCGTGCGCGCCTACGGGCTGCGGTGGCGGCCGCCGCGGCACCCGGCAGGGCCCGCCAGTCCCCGCTTCCCTGCTCCAGAGCCGCCGCCTGGGCCGGGGCAGGGCGGGCCCGGGGCTCCTCCATGCTGCCAGCCGCGGGGCTGCGGAGCCGACCAAGTGGCTCCTGCGATGGCGGCGGAAGAGGAGGCTGCGGCGGGAGGTGAGGTTGCCGGTGGCGAGGCGACGGCCCCAGGTGGGCGCGCGGCGTCTGACGCGCTGGGGGCGTCCCCGCGACGCCAGGTCTGCCCCCGCTGCCCCGAGGGAAGCGCCCGCGCCTGTCCTCTCGGGCCGGAGCATCGCCTCCGAGGGGCGGTGGGACAAGGCCGCCCCGTGGGGCACAGGTGCGGCGCGGCGCCCGGCGCGTCCTCCCGGGGAGCGGGACGCGGGGAGGGGAGCTGGGGTCGCCGCCGGCGCTCAGGACGCGGTGTCTTGGTCCCGGGCCGGGCGCATTGGCGAAAGGGAGCCAGCGGGGGACCTTGCACCCGGCGCTGGGAGCATCCGCCTCCACCCACTGCTGGGCGCCCGCGTCGGCGTCGGCATGGCATGCACTGCTGCGGGGACTTCCTATATTTCTTCTTTCTTTTGTGTAAACCAGTTGTCAGCAGCCTCGGACCTAGCCCGGTTCCTGTGAACCCCTCCCCTCTGAGCTGATAATACTCGCGGCTTCCCGGCTTGAACCGCTGCCCCGCGGTGGAGCGCGCAGGTGGGCAGGTGCGCGTGGACGCGGGGCCACACTCCGGGATCGCAGCCCGCTCCGCGACAGCCCTCCATAAGCGACAGGCGGCTCGTGTCTTTCACCGCTGAAGCTTCAGGAAAGCCGTCAGTGGAGTTAGCTTGTTCGATTATGTATTTCTGTGGTATTTTTGTGAATGGAGTTGGAAGTTTGCGGTGCTTTTTCCTTCTCGCTAGTATTCACTGGCAGTATTCTGTAGTTCCTTACAACGGGGCCTTTGGGACCACTGCTCACAATTACGGAATGAATACAAAATAGCTGTTGTTTAAGACAAATGAGAGGCAGGAAAACAGAAATAACTGAAGGAAGACTGGCAGAGAAGTTCAGGGAAGCAGTTAATTCTCCCCTTTCCTTTTGGAATAAGATGATAGAGTTTTAGATTCTTCTCTGAAATAAGGCAATGAGAGGAGGTGGCTTTCGAAATTCTAATATAATTGTGGGAATTTACATCATGGGGCGATTTCAGAAATTCGATCATTTGAATATTCGTAGTCTTAGGTAAACCCTTTGTTGAAAATAGAAGATGGCACGTGTGGTGTTTATAAGCTCTGACACCCTTTCTGCTCCGTCTTGTGACTGAGCTCTGCCCTTTACTGTCTGTGTCACCCAGGTTATTTGAAATCTCTTAGTCTAAGTTCCCCCATCTGTAAAATGGAGATAACTATGCAGTCTGCCTTATAGGATTGTTAGGAGTAAATGAGATATGAGATATGAATGCAAATAAAATGCTTAGCCCAATACTTAGGAAATAGTAAGTGCTTCATAAAACATTAACTTAATGTAGTTATTAATTTACAACTTCAATTTGCTTTGTGAAATTGGTGAGTGCTGTCTGGTCCATTAAGAAAGTGTTGTCCCTTGTGAGTTAAAATTGGCCAAACTGAAAGGAAGTGAAAATGCACCTACTAATTCAAAGAAAATGCACCTACTAATTCCCCAGATAAGTCTTACGAACTTACAACAAGCTTTTAGATAAAGTTTAATGCTATTTATCTAACTATTTTAGATTAATAGTTTATTGCTCTTTGCATACCAAATGTAAAGCTGGGAATAATAAAAATTAAATTTTCTTAATTAAGGGTAGCAATGTTTCTGTGCGGGCTGGGAGAGCCCGCAGGTATGAGTACCTAAGATGTCACAGACATTTCACAGGGGTGCTTCTGTTAGTCTTACAACAGCGTTGTGAGGTAGGTAGTATCTCCATTTCACAGATGAGAAAACTGAGGCTGGCTCACAGTTATACAGCCAGGACATGACAGAACTAGAGTTAAAATCCATGGCTGTCGCCCATACTCCTTTCTTTTCTTTCCCATCTGACTTGGTGGTGCTAATGAGCAAGTGTGCTCACTTCCAGACACCTGCTTATCTAAAGAGTAGTAAAAAATAGAACGCTCAACGAAACCTCTAGGAGGAAAAAATGTATATGTATTTTTACTATTTCTCCCTATTCCCAGAGGGAAAACAAAAACAGGCCTCTGGGCCAGTTGGTGGCCATCTACAAAACTAGCCCTAAGGTTTTGTTTTGCTTTGTTTTGTTTTGTTTTGTTTTGTGTTTTTTTAACAGTGTAAACCAAACTATGGGTTTCCCCACCCCATCAGTTTTAGATGGTAAACACCGAAATTGAGCATGCTGCCAAGTGACTGGGTGTCCTCCTAATAAATGATTCCAGAATCCTTGGGGTAGGAAGAGGGCAGTCTTGGGGAGCAGCACATTTCCAAGACTCACTGCCAGAGATGGTCTGGGGTTGAGGCCTCTGTGGGGCAGCTTTCTCACCTTCCGTTTTCTTACCAGCTCATGTTTTCACCTATGATAGTGTAAGATCCAATTCTTTTACATGTAGTTCTGCAATTACAGTGGTTTAAATTTACTTTGTGAGTCAGAAATCAAACGTCATGTCCCAATCAATTTTGCCTAAGCTCCTGTTACTGGCATGGATCCTTGGGCAAAATTTCAGCCAGAAATGCATTATTCAAGATAAACCAGGATGGGCTAATTACTTTTCACATATTTAAGGGGGAGGAAAATAGAGAAGGAAAGAGAGAAAGAGTGAGAGGAGGGAGAAGGCAAGAGAGGAGGTGTGAAGTAAAGAGAGGAGGAGAGGGGAAAGGAGGAGGAAGGAGAGAGTGAAGGAAGGAGAAGGGGAGGAGGGGAGGGACTGCCACTCCATCAAAGTTTGACTCCAGGAAAAACAAAAACTAACGTTTAAAATATATAGGGAAAGCCAAAATATCAGTAGGAGAATACAGTGATTTCAGTTTACTTTGTCCTTGTGAAATGACTCCCTAGTTCTAAAAAGCATGATGTTCTGTGCTGTGAACATTGAGGTAGCATCCTTTTGAAATCTCCATTTGTGTCATGTTCAGGAAATCATAAATGAGCAAATAACAATTCATTCTGGTAGCCCTAGTTTTCAGTTGTCTCATTTAATTGAAGACCTCCACTTCTCTGCATTGACAACTGAGTTACTCGGGTGCTTGGGGTCTGGGTCATTAGTCAGCATCATCATGGTCATAAGCATTTTCAGGGACCTCAGAGTGTGCCATGTGCCCTACAGGAGGCAAGGGCACCTGAGACATCCGCCTGTTCTGTGAGACAGTGATTTCCTGCCCTGGTTTTTGCAAGGTTACTACCTGTAGTGGCTCCCCTGGTTCTCAGCATCCCAGCCCTCTGTAGCCCCTGCCTTGCCCAGTGCCTCACCCCTTCCCAGTGGCAGGAGCCAGTGGGAACTAAGAGCCTTCAGTGTAAGCCCTTATTGGAGCTAGGACTGCAGGTGAGATATGTTCTCTGTAGTAGCGTGTAGTATTTCTAGATATTTACTGATAATTTATGCAATACTTAGCTATGTATGCCCTGCCGCACCCTGTTTCCTTCTCTTACTCAGGTGCTGTCACACTTACTGGTCCCTGACACATACTGTTTACATTGTATCACACTAGGCTATAATATCCCATTTACCCACCCAATTTTTTAACTTAAAATATTTTTAAACCTGGCTGGGCGCGGTGGCTCACGCCTGTAATCCCAGCACTTTGGGAGGCTATGGCAGGTGGATCACCTGAGGTCAGGAGTTTGAAACCAGCCTGGCCAACATGGTGAAACCCTGTCTCTACTAAAAAATACAAAAATTAGTCCGGCGTTGGTGGTGCGTGCCTGTAATCCCAGCTCAGGAGGCTGAGGTGGGAGAATCACTTGAACCTGGGAGGCAGAGGTTGTAGTGAGTCGAGATCATTCCACTGCACTCCAGCCTGGGTGACAGAGCGAGACTGTCTCAAAAAAAAAAAAAAAAAAAAAAAGTATTTTAAACTTCCTTAAAACTTCTTAAAATCAGTTCAGTTATACAGTGTTAACATTCTCACCTGAAAATACTTAAATGGTTGGCATGATAGGAAATTTGACATTTATGTAGCTAAATTATTTGTATTTCATTTCTCTAGTCTTTAATCTTATGGTTTAAATCTCTAGATGGTACCATTACAGCGAGATTAAAAACAAAGAAGTCTAAAGGAAAAGGAAATGTAAAGAGAATCATTCTTCCACTCTATGCTTTGCATTAAAGGATATTTAGAATTGAAGGTTAAGACTATTGTGATAAAACAATAACTTCCAAGACATTCAAAGTGTTTTACTTACAACATTTCATACATTTTTAAGTAGATTAGAAATATACTTTATCATATTTTCCAAGCATATCACAGGGAAAGTAGAGAATCATCTACTACCCTTCTTGACCAAAGTGCCTCCACCTTTGCCCCTGTGATATGTCCTATACTCAATTATGTGAAGGAACCTGCCTTTCCCCAACATAATGTACACTTTCCCACCTCCAGGCCTTTCCTCAGGCTGTTGGCTGTTCCTGGAATACCCCTGCCCTCCCTCTAGATGGGTCTGGAGAATCTTAACCAATCAAGCTTGAAGGCTGAGCGCAGATGTCACTTTTTTTGTATGTGTGGAGGAGGAGAACTGGTGTGGGAAAATCAATATAAGCTTTGGAACTAGGCCACTGGGCTTGTGATTTCTGGTTTCATTACTTGTCAGCTTTGTAAACTTGGTCAAATTTTAAAACTTCTCTGAGCCCCAATTTCCTTATCTGTAGAATAGGGGTAAAAATACCTAACTTGGAAGGTTGTTTTGGGAATTAAATGAGATAATGATTACAAACTGTTTAATGAACTCTGACCTTCAACAAATGATTTTCCCCTTTTCCTCATGCAACCTTCCCAGAATCTCCTCGTCACCCAAATTGAAATTATTCTCCCCTCCTATTTTCACACTGTAGTTTTTTTGTGTGCCTATGATAACACTTGTGCCTGTCTGCCACAAGTTATTTGGTTTCTTAGCTCCACCCTTAAGTTGCACATTGCCAGGAGGCCAGAATTGGTTCTTACTCAGCTTTATAATCTCCAATTTCTTGCACCTATTAAGTGCTTAATAAAGGCTTGCAGATTTTGAATGAAGAATAGTTTGCTTAAGGTGTGGAAAGGGTTAGTTCATTCTTAAAGGACCCATTAAATACGCACTATTTACTAGGCAAACAGAGAAGCAGAAGTGGATAAAGCAGGAGAAGGGGTTAAAGAGCTTACAAAATCTATTAGGCTGGGTGAGAAATGCAGCCAAAATATTTGTAATATAAGGTAGGCACATGGTACAATATATGGGCTAACTGTTAGGAGTTAGTCTCCTCCCCCACAGTTGGGAGAAATTATATCTAGTTCATGAAAGAGGGACCACAGAAGGCTTTCAGAGAAGGGGTTAATTTTAGTATCGATGGAAAGACAACTCTTGGAGAGGCAGCCAAAAAAAAAAAAGGTTTGGGAGGGGGTCTTCCAGGGAACAGAGTAGGCATGGAAATGGAAAATCACCAGTGACATGCACAGAAGAATTGATGTTAGTATCCTTTGGCTTTGGATAGGAAAACTGAAAAGGAAAGAACTGGCCTACTGAAAAGTTTCATCATTTTCTATTGGGCTTCCCCTCCAAGGTCTGTGATGAGGCATGGACAGTGAACACAGGCAGCCTGTCTTACACATAGGTGAGTTTCCTGCTCTACAAAAGGAAAGATACATGCATCTTCTTTTTGGTTCCTGGCAGGCAACAGAACTTTTAAGTCACCTTGAAAGGCAAATTATGGCATATTTCTGATCAGTAAGAAAGCCGGAAAGCTCACTGATTCCTGGTTCCTGCCAGATGGTTGTCTCTTAGGTCTTAGTCTTCACTCCAAGTTATCTGGGCCCCTTCTCTCTTTCATCTTTTCTTTCCTGAAAAGGGAACTACTACTATCTTTTTTTTAACTTTTATTTTAAGTTCAAGGGTATATGTGCAGGTTTGTTATATGGGTAAACTCGTGTCACAGGGGTTTGTTGTACAGGTTATTTCATCATCCAAGTATTAAGCCTAGTACCCATTAGTTATTTTTTCTGATCCTCTCCCCTCTCCAACCTTCCACCTTCCAATAGGCCTCAGTGTGTGTTGGTTCCCTCTGTATGTCCATGTGTTCTCATCATTTAGCTCCCACTTATAAGTGAGAACATGTGGTATTTGGTTTTCTGGTCCTGTGTTAGTTTGCTAAGGATAATGGCCTCCAGTTCCATTGATGTTCCTGCAGAGGACATGATCTCATTCTTTTTATGGCTACATAATATTCCATGGTGTATATTTACCACATTTTCTTTTTCTAGTCTACCATTTATGGGAACCTAGGTTGATTCCATGTCTTTGCTGTTGTGAATAGTGCTGCAATGAAATATGCATGCATCTTTATAATAGAACAATTTATATTCCTTTGGATATATACACAGTAATCGGATTGCTGAATTGAATAGTAGTTCTGTTTTTGGCTCTTTGAGGAATTGCCACACTGCTTTCCACAATGGTTGAACTAATTTACACTCCCACCAACAGTGTATTAGCATTCCCTTTTCTTTGCAGTCTCACCAGTATCTTACTTTTTGACCTTTTTTTTTTTTTTGAGACGGAGTCTCGCTCTGTCACCCAGGCTGGAGTGCAGTGGTGCGATCTCTGCTCACTGCAAGCTCCGCCTCCCGGGTTCATGCCATTCTCCTGCCTCAGCCTCCCCAGCAGCTGGAACTACAGGTGCACGCCGCCATAATAGCCATTCTGACTGGTATGAGGTGGTAATCTGATTGTGGTTTTGATTTGCACTTCTCTAATAATCAGTGATGTTGAGCTTTTTTTTTAATATGCTTGTTGGCCACATGTATGTCTTTTGAAAAGTGTCTCTTCATGTCCTTTGCCCACGTTTTAATGGAGTTGTTTGTTTTTTCCTTGTAAATTTAAGTTTCTGATAGATGCTGGATATTAGATCTTTGTCAGATGCATAATTTGCAAAAAGTTTTCTGCCATTCTGTTGTAGGTTGTCTGTTCACTCTGTTGATAGTTTCCTTTGCTGTGTAGAAGCTCTTTGGTTTAATTAGATCCCATTTGTCAATTTTTCCTTTTGGCACAATTGCTTTTGGTGTCTTGCATAATGAAATCTTTGCCTGTTCCTATGTCCAGAATGGTATTTCCTAGGCTGTCTTTTGGGTTTTTATGGTTTTGGATTTTACATTTAAGTCTTTAATCCATCTTGAGTTGGCTTTTGTATATGGCATAAGGAAGGGGTTCAGTTTCAGTCTTTTGCATATTGCTAGCCAGTTATCCCAGCACCATTTATTGAATAGGGAGGGAGTCCTTTCCTGGTTGCTTGTTTTTGTCAGCTTTGTCGAAGATCACATGGTTGTAGGTGTGTGGCCTTGTTTCTGAGCTCTCTATTCTGTTCCAATAGTCTATATGTCTGTTTTTGTACCCCTCCCATGCTTTTTGGTTACTGTTGCTTTGTAGTATAGTTTGAAGTTAGGCAATGGTGATACTTCCAGCTTTGTTCTTTTTGCTTAGGATTGCCTTGGCTATTCGGGCTTTTTTTTTGGTTCCATATGCATTTTAAAGTAGTTTCTTCTGGTTCCGTGAAGAATGTCATTGGTAGTTTGATAGGAATAGTATTGAAACTACAAACTGCTTTGGGTAGTAGATAGTCCATTTTAACAATATTGATTCTTCCTATCCATGAGCATGGAATGTTTTTCCATTTTCTGTGTCATCTCTGATTTCTTTGAGCAGTGTTTTGTCATTCTCATTGTAGAGATTTTTCCCCTCCCTGTTAACTGTATTCCTATGTATTTTATTCTTTTTGTGGTGGTTAAGAATGGGACTGCATGCCTGATTTGGCTCTCAGCTTGACTGTTGTTTATGTATCGGAATGCTAGTGATTTTTGCACATTGATTTTGTATCCTGAGACTTTGCTGAAATTATGCATCGGCTTAAGGTGCTTTTGGCCCGAGACTATAGGGTTTTCTAGATACAGAATCATGTCATCTGCAAAAAGGGATAGTTTGACTTCCTTTCTTCTTACTTGGATGCCCTTATTTCTTCCTCTTGACTGATTGCTCTGGCGAGGACTTCTAATACTATGTTGAGTAAGAGTGGTAAGACAGGACATCCTTGTCTTGTGCCAGTTTTCAAGGGGAATGCTGCCAGCTTTTGCTCATTCAGTATGATGGTATTATGTTGGCTGTGGGTTTGTTGTAGATGGCTCTTATTATTTTGAGGTATGTTCCTTTAATACCTATTTTGTTGAGGGTTTTTAACATCAAAAGGTGTTGAATTTTATCAAAAACCTTTTCTGCATCTGTTGAGATAATCACGTGGTTTTTGTCTGTAGTTCTGTTTATACAATGAATCATATTTATTGATTTGCATATGTTGAACCAAACTTGCTCCCCACGGATAAAGCCTATTTGATCATGGTAGATAAGCTTTTTGACGTGCTGCTGGATTTGGTTAGCGCAGCTACTTATCTCTTTAAATATACTTCACATTCTTCTGAAAAGCATAAGTACTATTTCATTTATTTCCGTGACAGCCTATTGGGAAGCAGGTATCTGCACTTTCCACATTTATTCGGCATAATGACCTATGTTGTTCTACCATCCCCATCACTCTGTGCCCTTGATGTGGGTACGTGCTCCAGATATGCTCGCAGAAAAGAACCTGGAGCACTTACAGACTTTTCCTGTGCAGTTCCATGGGACAAAGCTGAAGACCCTCAGCCTTGACTTCCGATACAAACACTTAATGAAGGTTTTTAAACAATAAGAAATCCGGTGCCCTGTGTCTGAACATACTCCTAATATGAAAAGAGCACTCATGGAAACAGCTAAGTGTGGTGACATCAGGAGATGTCTTGTTTGTTTGTTTTGTTTTTATTTATTTTTTTTATTTTTGAGACAGAATCTCACTCTGTCGCCCAGGCCAAAGTGCAGTGGTGTGATCTCGGCTCACTGCAACCTCCACCTCCTGGGTTCAAGCAATTCTCATGCCTCAGCCTCCCGAATATCTGGGACCACAGGTGTGCACCACCACAGCCAGCTAATTTTGTATTTTTTTAGTAGAGACGTGGTTTCATCATGATGGTCAGGCTGGTCTCGAACTCCAAGCCTCAAGTGATCTGCCCACCTTGGCCTCCCAAAGTACTGGGATTACAGGCATGAGCCACTGCACCCAGCCAGTTGTTCTTATTTTAATTCAGTTACAATGCAGAGGAACTCTGTCTTAGAAGTTACTTGTAAACAGAAACTCTATATATCAAAATACATTGTCTCTTATTTAGAAGCAGAGAATATAGCGAGAATATGTTATTGTGCCAATAGAGTACTTAAGCTATAAGTGTATTTTATAGAAATGCAGATTTTAAGAGATAGATCAGTATACATCTGATCTGTAGATTGAATCTATACCATCCATACAGTAGATGGGATTGAAATTGATTGAATACTTGACAGAGGGCATTATCAATAGATGTTAAAAGGAATAGAAGATTATCCAGACTAATAATTGTTTTGTTAAAGATCTAGAGAAAAGTTTTGATGAAACAGTGAACACAGTTTCCAGCTCTATCTTCTTTCCTTGAACACGTACCAGCTCCCTGGTTGGAGAATTAAATTTTCTCTTTGAGTTTACATGGCACCCAAAGATAGGCTGTGCTTACACTACCATGGAAACAAACAATATTGCATTGTAGGTAGGCCATCTCTTCTGTAACAAGTCACCGAGGCAACCACTCTGACCTAGAAAAGAGAGACTAAATCCAATTCTCCATGCATCATGGTGCTAGTGGCTTCTTTAGGACAATTCTCCTTTTCTTTAGTTTTCAACTTGAAATGCTAGCACTTTTGGCTTATCACTTCCTTTCAACAATAATCATAGCTACCTCTGGGGTATGTGGTCATAAGCAAAACAGCCTGATCTTAGAGGGATGTTCAATTCGCACCTCAAAGTTTAGAAGGCATCCAGAGCAAATTATTTAGCAAAAGGTTTAGAAATAATTTTCTTTCGCTGTTTCTCTAGGAAGCACATGGAAGCAAATTTAGATTGTGATCATCATTGTTTGTAGGGCATATTATGCCGAGATCGTATTAAAGCCATAAATATCACTTTGGGTTTTATTGCTTTTAAAGTCTATATTGTGTTTAAACACTGTATTTAACATCTATACTGTATTTGTAAAACTTTAACATTTGCTTGTTGCAGTGTCCTGCTTCCTTTTTTAAAAAAAGGCTCTTTCCTTTTTTCTAGAATAATCGCCATTCAGTGAAAAGATATACAGATGTATTTATGAACACTGATGCATTTTTTCCCCAAAGTTAAACGGAAGGTGTCTCATCTTGTTGCTACTTGAGTTGTCGGGAATCATGTATCTTTTATAGGCTTTGTGTAGAATTTGGCATATCCAACATGCTTGACTAGTGTGAATCATGATAATGGCCTACATTGTGTCTACTATTTGCTCATAACCTACAGGAATTATATTTTGTTGAGCTGTATTTTCCAGTATATAACAATGATCTCGGTGTAGACCATCCAAATCTAAATACGTTTTTGTGCCTTTGGAAAAACCTGCTGATGTTGAAAATGTTAAACCCTGCATTCTTCTTTTGTATCAGTCAGGCCTAGAACAAGTTAGGGGACTTTTCTGTGTTGATATAGAACTGAAATTCTGATGAACTGTGGTTTCTTGCTTTTGCCCATCCCTGGATTAGGTATAATGCCTATGAAATGCTGGCCTTTTCTGGAATGGTCATAGTCAGGGAAGCATTCTTCAGTGCTTATATCACTCTGATTACATTCTGCATCACAAATGAGTGGTTTCCCTTGACTCCAGTTTCCTTATAGTCATCATGAGTGTTTCTCCTCCCTCTTTGCCCTGTTTCAAAAGCTCAGCTTCTATAATTCTCTTTTTGGTTCTGTTAAATAGTTAAAATTCTTCATCTTTATTGAGTATTTACTATGTGCTAGGTGTTCTAAATGCTTTGCATGGTATAATTCATTAGATCCCCAGCAACTTATGAGGTAGGTACTATTGTTAATCCATGTTTCAGATGAGGAAACTGAGGCATAGAGAATTTAAGTACATTGCCTAAGATTAAGGCGGCAGAACTAGGGCTTGAACCCAGGCAGAGTGGCCTTCAGAGCTTTTAACCTTGCCCTAGATTGCATTCCTTTAGTGTCTGCAAGGCATTTGGATGTGGTTCCATTTCTATGGAGTGCTGATGTCTAAAACTGATCTTCTGGGAGGGAGTGTGGAATACTGGCCTACTTTGACTTTGAGAGCATCTGAGGTCTTTCACCTAATGATTGTGTGATGTTTGGCATGTGTATTAGTCAAGGTTCAACCAGAAGAGCAGAACCAATAGGAGATATATATTAAGAGATTAATTGCAAGGGATTGGTTTATGCAACTGTGGGGCTGGTTAGGCAAGACTGAAACCCACAGAGCAGGTTGTCAGTAAAGGCAGGCTGAACTCCAGCACAGACGGACCCTGCTGTTCACAGGTGGAGTTTCTTTTTCCTCAAGGAAGACTCCGCTCTGCTTTTAAGACTGTTCAACTGATTAAATCAGGCCTACCCAGATTATCTAGGATAATCTCTCTCACTTGAGGTCAACTGATCATGGGCTTTAATCACATCTACAAAATACGTTCACAACAACACCTAGAAAACTGTTTGACACAATAACTGAGGATTGTAGTGTAGCCAAGATGACATAGCAAAGTTGCTTTATTTCTCTGAGCCTTGGTTTTCTCACATGCTAAATGGGGATAGTAAACACCATAGACCTGTGAGGATTGTATAAAATATGTAAAGCATATGGTGCCTGGCGTGTCAGGAATCAGTAAAAGATGATATTATTTGCAGCAGTGGTGGGGATGTCAGCAGCTGCAGCTGTGGTCCCACCTACAGTAGTGACGTCGTCCTCATTTTCATCACTCTCTTGGTCATTCCTGTTCATGGCAGTGGATGGCTTCCTAACTGGTATTTCTGCCTCAAACTCTTTTAATTCATCCCCATTTTTTTCTCAAGGCTATCATGAAAAGCTTAAAAGTGTAGCCCACTACTCTCCAGCTTTGAAAAATGTCTTTTTGAAATCCAGGTACAATATGTTTATAGATTTCCTCAATTGGTGCAAACTGCAACTGCTTCCCCCCAAAAATGCCCCCTGCTCACTTGCTAAAAGGTAGTGCTGGGGAGGGCTGCATTCTGCAGTGGCATTGAAATTCATTCTAGGTGTCTTTCTTTCCTTTTCAGTTTCTGCAGTAATTGAGGATGGGACATGCATGAGAACTGTTTTAAGTTCTGTTTTTTTTATTTTCTTTTATTTAAACTGACATGTAAAACACAGCTGGGCATATTATTTCACCACTCTGAGCCTAAGTTTTCTCAGCTTTAAGATGAGTAAATTGGACAGGATAATTTCTTTTTTTATTATTGTTTATTTTATTGAGACAGGGTTCACTCTTGCCCAGGCTGGAGTACAATAGTATGATCACGGTTCACTGCAGCCTCCACGCCTTGGGCTCAAGTGATTCTCCTGCATCATCCTCTGCCTCTGGAGTGGCTGGTGTCACAGACGCATGCCACCATGCCCAGCTAATTTTTGTACTTTTGTTTTTTTTGTAGAAATGGGATTTTGTCATGTTGCCCAGGCGGGTCTCCAACTCCTGGGCTCAAGCTATCTGCCCATCTGGGCTTTCCAAAAGTGCTGGGATTACAGGCATGACCCACCACACCTGGCTGATAATTTGTTTTGTTCTTTTTCCCCTCTATTAATCTTTTATTGCAAAGTAAGAAAACCAGGTATGTTTTTAGGATTTTCTCCAAATGTTTTTTAGTAATTTTTATCTTTAAGAGCAAGACTAGTTTATTTTTCCATATTGAAGCAAATATTTAAAAGGGAATAATTATAGTTGAATCAAATAATAGATTAAAAAATTAGCCAGAAAACCTTTCACTTTTCTGTTCCATCAGACGAGAGACAATGTGTGAACAAATGAATGAGCTTGGGAACCATTTTAGTCTACTGGACTTGATAACTGTTTTTGTCCTTATTCTTAACTGCTTGTCCGAATCCAACTCATACTAATTTCCCTCCCATGTTTCTGATCTTTCTGTCTTATAAACTTTGATTTACCTTCTTACTTATTCCCACTTTATCTTATCTCCTGAATGTGATGATTAAACCTTTGTTTTGTTTGTTTGTTTGTTTGTTTTGAGGCGGAGTCTCACTCTGTCACCCAGGCTGGAGTGCAGTGGCACAATCTCAGCTCACTGCACCCTCTGCCTCCCAGGTTCAAGCGATTCTCCTGTGTCAGCCTCCTGAGTAGCTGGGACTACAGGTGCGCATGCCACTGTGCCCGGCTAATTTTTGTATTTTTAGTAGAGATGGGGTTTCACCATGTTGGCCAGGCTGGTCTCGAACTCCTGACCTCAGGTGATCCACCCACCTTGGCCTCCCAAAGTGCTAGGATTACAGGCGTGAGCCACCATGCCCGGCCTAAACCTTTGTTTTTAAAGTGTTACTCCCACCCTTTGCCATGATTCTCACTTTTCCTATGTGGCTGTTGTCCACCAATGCTGAAGAAGACATTCTTTTCCCATAGTCTGCTGTCAGACCGTGGCTCCCAGTTGATGTCACAGTTTTTGAAGATATACTTTAAGACTCTTAAAATTCAAAACCATAGGTGTGTAGTTGAGATGGTTCGGATGTTTGCCCCCTCCAAACCTCATGTTGAAGTTTGATCTCCAGTGTTGAAGGTGGGGCCTAATGGGAGGTATTTGGGTCATGGGGTGGATCCTTCATGAATAGGTTAACGTCCTTCCTTGAGGGTAAACGAGTTCTCACTCTAATTGTTTGTTAAAGCTGGTTGCTAAAAAGAGCCTGGTGCACCCTGCCCTCTTGCTTTCACTCTCCCCATGTGATCTCTGCACACTCTGGCTCCCCTTTACCTTCCACCTTGAGTGGATGCAGCCTGAGGCCCTCACCAGAAGCAGATGTCCCATCTTGAACTTTCCCACTATTAGAATCATGAGCCAAATAAACCCTTTTTATTGATAAATTACCTAGTCTCAGATATTCTGTTATAGCAACACTAGGTGGACTAAGTGTAGCTTAGTGCAGTAGTCAAGTACGAGATAAACCCAACATCTTTGGCATTGAATGTCACACAGGGAAGTGATATGGCTATTTTATGTACATCAAAACTTCAAGATTACACGCTGCATTTTCTTCACTAATATGCATAAATGATCTTATTTCTCAATAATTTTGGCCTTCCCCTTCATTTGCCCATACCACCAGAGGCATTCAAAGCCTTTGATTAATACCTGGTAGAACTCCAGGATACACAGGAGGATCTGTTAGATTTTTGAGTTCCATGAAGGATTAGTCTCTTTTGCCACCATCATATCTCCAGCCCTCAGCTCAGCATCTTGTTCACAGTAGGTGCTTGAGGAATATTTACTAATTGATCTGCAGGACATTGTAGGACCACAGCTGACAAGTACCACTCACCAGGTGGCCATCCATATAGGGGAATAGACTAGCTTTTTTTTAAAAAAAATATCCTTTCAACGAGGTTGTACTGCAAACTGGAAAACTGGTTTGAATATATTCTAAGGTTAAAACATAAACATTATTCTTCTGATGTTCACACCCATGCAGTTGGTTTGTGTTTTATCCTGAGTGCCATGCCCTTAGGATCAGCTAGGAAGAACCAACCTTAGTATGTACTGTGCAGGAGATCTAGGACACCTGCCGATTTTAAGGCAACCTTTAGTACACAGTCCAGTATGAGCAATGCAAGCAAATCCACATCTTACCTTAAACATGCTCTAAAATATATGTACTGTTGCATTGAGCAATCCTGGGAGATTCCCTGGCCCATCCTTACTGGTCTGACAGACATGTCATAATCAGGTAACCAGATCCCCTGTGGCTCATTTTAAATGGTGAGGCTAGCACAGCATAATCCCTGGGGCTCTCTGACACCTTGGCATTGTTTACAGTTTTACTCCCAGACTATTTACCCCAATCCAGATTAGTTCAGTTTTCCCACCTGCTAAGTGATTGCCTGAGTCCATTCTAACCATTCATATCTCTTCCCTCGTGTCAACCTTTTACTTTCCCCTATAACTCTGCCTTGGGCTCTCACTTTGCCTATGTTGAATATGGCTATAGTGAATAAATTACCTGCTGTTCTCTCTTTGGCTTTTTTGTTCAACATGATAGCTTGGTTTGAAGATAGTGATGTTCTTGTGGTCACTTTTGCACATGGCATACTTTGGGGAGGCTTAGGGAGGAGATAGATATAATCTGAATCCAGAAATATATTGATAGGGTAGTAGCAAAATTGATAGGGTGATACCAAAGAAGATTAAACTTAACAGAAAAAAAGGTAACATTTATTTTTTTTTAATCTTAATTGACAACATAACAAAGCAGTGCAGATGTGGCTTAACTTACCTAAAGCCACCTTTTAGACTTCAAAAACCACTCCTCACTTTAAGATTATATGACTTTTCACCTATATATATATTTTCCTTATACTTTTTATGGTTTTATTTCTTTACATTTAGCTCATTCATCCATCATAAATTCATGACAGTAAATAGGAAGAAATAGAGATTTAACTTTTTCTGAATAGTTATAGAATTGACTTAATACAAATTATTGCATAATCCATCATTTCCTCAATTATTGAGTGTGGGCAGTGTGTCTGGGATTGTGTTAAGCTAGGAATAAGAACACATGGTTCCTGCCCTCAAGGAGCTGTGCCTGGTGAGGGAAACCAATTAGTAAAAAGAGAATTAAGTGAAGCAGGATGAGCTCAATGATGGCATCCATTACAAAGTGCTGCTATATAATGTCTGAGGGGCCCCAGTAGGGTGGGAGATTTTGACGTTGGGGAACAGTGGGTAGAGAGGGCTTCTTGTAGGAGATAACATCTGACTTTGTTTTGACAGATGAGTATAAACTGAGTAAACCTGCTTTGAGAACAGGGAATTCCAGGCGAGGAGAATCAGAGTCATGGGGGAACCTGAGATGATTGGGCAGCATCATGCAGTGCACTGAGGCCATTGCCTGGGTTACTAGTGAGAGTAGCATGGGATGAGGCTGATGGGGATGCCTCGTATTTCATATTTCATGTCATCTTAAACTCAGTGGGGCCCACAGTTGGGTTTAAAGCAATAGAACAAAATAACCAAACCTGTTGTACAATAATTAAATCGTTGATAGTTTGCATATTGAATATTCTCAAGCATACTACTTTTAATTCACAGCAATGATTACAATTTTGAATCATGTGCTTGTCTCATTATTGATGGTTTCATATTGGCTTCAGAAGAGGAAGGAAAAATTTATATTTCACTAATTATATGAGGAGTTCTGTGTGGAAATCTGAATTACCTGGCATTATAGTTCTGATTTAATCTTGCTCCACAGCAGTTCTGCCCCTTAATTTGTCTCAGACCTCAGTCAGTTTTAATATTTACACCCTTCAGTCTGACCATTTATATGAGGATGGAAAGGCACACTAGTGTCTGTTTGGATCTTATGCCTGGCCATAAGCTCACTATACTCAACTCAGGCAAGTAATTAATGTACTACTGAATATCTGCCCAACATAAGTTCAGAGATTCCAAAATCCTTCAACATTTATCTCAGTGTTTTCTTATAAACACTCTATGAGGTAAGTCTGGTCTTTATTCTAACTTCTATATTACAGATGAGGAAATGACCACAGAGAGGGTAAATGTTGCCTAAAGTCACACACAGTAAGTTAGGGGAACAGCTGGACAAAAATGCTCTTGCTGTGCCTGCTGCTGCCTTCTTGCCATTCAGTCCATGGTCAGCAGAGGTGGCGAGCTCCTCATGTCGGGTGTGGGACAGTGTTTTCATTGTGGCAGGGGCTTGCACCTGAGCTTGAGCTAGGCCTCCTGACCAGTGGATATTTGATGAAGTTCACACAGTTAGGAAGTTCTTCCTTTAGAAAAGTCCTCAGAAATTGGTATAGGTTGTCAAAGTCTATTTAGTCACCCCTGTGAAAAAGCAGGTGACTTTAGCAGACTATGAGGCTGTTCCTTGCCTCCAACAACAACCCTTTGTAGACTCTTTGATGCCACAGTTATTTCTAAAGCATTAAACACAGCACTAACTGATGCTTTCAATCAGTTATCAGGTATGGAATGTAGGTGATCAAAGCCATGTGGCTGCCACTTTCAAAAATCAGTATAGTTATCCCTCGCCCACAAAGGGAATCGTCTGTAGGCAGGTGATGCTTGTGGAAGGCTTTTTCTTAAGTCCCCTAAATACTTTTGCCAGGAGATCTCTCTTCCACAGTACAGGACAAGGGTCAGCCTGGGATCTTGCATTTGATTAGAAACTCCCTGTCCCGACTGTTTGGGAAAACATGAAGATGTTCCACAGAAGTGGCTCAACAAGGTCTTGTATCTTTAGCAACACAAAGTTCATAGCATCAGCTGTCCATAGTTGTTCTTTGGTTTAGAAAACAAGAAGGGCTGTGTACATGGCTCTTGGAATAGTGATATAAATTTATCCTTTCAAAGAAATGCCCAAGGTTGTGAATAACACAAGAAAACTTTTTAGTGTATTTCTTTTTTCTTTTTTTGGAGACAGGGTCTTGCTCTGTTGCCCAGGCTGAAGTGCAGTGGCTCAGTCTCAGCTCACTGCAACCTCCTCCTCCCAGGTTCAAGCGATTCTCTTGCCTCAGCCTCCTGTGTCGCTGGGATTACAGGCGCCCACCACCACGCCTGGCTAATTTTTGTATTTTTGGTAGAGACAGGAGTTCACTGTGTTGGCCAGGCTGGTCTCGAACTCCTGACCTAAGGTGATCCGCCTGCCTCAGCCTCCCAAAGTGCTAGGATTACAGGCATGAGCCACCATGCCCAGACCCCACCCACCCCCCCTTTTTTTTTTTTGAGACAGGGTCTTGCTCTGTCATCCAGGCTGCAGTGCAGTGGCATGCACATGGTTCACTTCAGCCTCGTCCTCCTATGCTCAAGGGATCCTCCTGCCTCAGCCTCCCGAGTAGCTGGGACTACAGGTGTGTGCCACCACACCCTGCTAACTTTTTGTATTTTGTAGAGATGGAGTCTCACTGTGTTGCCCAGAATGGTCTCAAACTCTTGGACTCAAGCAATCCTCCTGCCCTGGCCTCCCAAAGTGCTCAGATTTCGGGCTTGAGCCCCTGGCACCTGGCCTTATTTTTCTGAATTAAAAAAGTAATATGTGTTAGTTGTAGAAAAAGAAAAGGTAAATTAAGAAAAATATAAATGCCTTAATCATGTCTTTTATTTTCTGTATTCTGATGCTTTGATATCTGGGGCTTGCTGACTTTGCATGGACTGTCCCTCCCAGGATTAGCCAATACCTAGAGATAGTACACAATTTGCCCTTGAATGCGCTTTTCAAATATAAACCAGTCCAGAGCCCACTACCCAACCATCTCTTTTATTGAGCTCATACAGTCTCAGCTACTATCCACCTAACCTAATCACCCCAGGGCCAGATACCAGATCCCTACGTAGGGACAGCCCCTGTTCCCCAGAGTCTGCTGAAATTATTCAAAGTAGCCAATTCCAAGCTTGTTTAGCCTGCCTCACCTGTTCCTTCAGAAACCAGAATCAAGACTCTTGCCCTCAGTTCTCTCTCTTCCTCTGACTGACCCAGCGCTTCCCCTGTGGCGCCTTCAGTGGTGTGGCATGCCCACTCCGCTTGGGAACGGCGAGTAACAATCTATCTTTTCAATGGCAATAAATGTCTCCTGATTGGTTGGCCCTACTTTATCTCAAATTTCTATTAATACATTATATTGTAAAACTAAAGCAAACAATATACCATACAAAATTTAATATTTTTAGACCATTTACTATTTCATAAGTAATTTGAAAACATTGTATTTAAAGATGGCAGAGGACTCCATCATATCACTGCACCCTAATTTTTTAGCTGTTCCCTTGTTTGTCAAAGCTTTTAGGTTGTTTTCAGGTTTACACTGCTGAAGCATTTTTATTAAATTCTTTGTACAACAGTCTTTGTGTATATCTTTAATAATTTTAGGATAAGTTCAAAGAAATCAAATTGCTAAATCAAAGAACAGCATGTGTTTGTGCCCCTTGACATAATTTTTCAGATTGCCTTCTGGGAACATTATATACAATGAGCATCTCTAATCTGAAAATCCAAAATCTGAAGTGCCAAAAAATCCTAAACTTTTTGAGTACTGGCATGACACCACAAGTGGAAAATTCCACACCTGTCCTCATGTGACGGGTCACAGTTAGAATGCAGTCAACCTCAACAAACTAGGCATCGAAGGAACATACCTCAAAATAGTAAGAGCCATCTATGGCAGACCCTCAGCCAACATCATACTGAACAGGCAAATGCTGGAAGCTTTCACCCTGAGAACTGGAACAAGGCGAGGATGCCCACTCTCACCACTCCTATTCAACATAAACCACTCCTACTCAACATAGTCCTGGGCAGTCAGAGCAGTCCTAGCCAGAGCAGTCAGGCAAGAGAAAGAAAGAAAAGGCATCCCAACAGGAAAATAAGTCAAATTATCTCTCTTCACTGACAATGTGATTCTCTATCTAGAAAACCCTGAAGGCTCTGCTAAAAGGCTCCTAAGCTGATAAATAACTTCAGTAAAGTTTCAGGATACAAAATAAATGTACAAAAGTCAGTAGCATTTTCATACTGCTAAGCTGAGCACCAAATCAAGAGTGCAGTCTCATTCACAATAGCCGTTAAAATAATACCTAGGAATACAGCTAACCAGGGAGGTGAAACATCTGTACAAAGAGAATGACAAAACACTGCTCAAAGAAATCAGAGATGGCACAAACAAATGGAAAAACATTCCATGCTCATGGATAGGAAGAATCAATATTGTTAAAATGGCTATACTGCCCAAAGTGGTTTACAGATTCAGTGCTATTTCTATCAAGCTACCAATGTTATTTTTCACAGAATTAGAAAAAAACGATTCCAAAATTCATATGGAACCAAAAAAAGAACCCGAATAGCCAGAGCAATCCTAAGCAAAAAGAACAAAGCCAGAAAATCACACTACCCGACTTCAAACTATACAAGGCAGCAGTAACCAAAACAGCATGAGACTGGTACAAAAACAGACATGTAGACCAATGGAACAGGTTAGAGAACCCAGAAGTAAAGCTGTACACCTACAACCATCTGATCTTCGACAAAGCTGACAGTTACAAACAATGGGGAAATGAGTCCATATTCAGTAAACTGTGCTAGGATAACTGGCTAGCCATAAGCAGAAGATTGAAAGTGGACCACTTCTTTCACCATATACAAAAATCAACTCAAGGTGGATTAAAGACTTAAATATAAGACCTAAAACTATAAAAACCCTAGAAGAAAACCTAGAAAATACCATTCTTGATGTAGGCCTTGGCAGAGATTTCATAATGTAGTCTCCAAAAGCAATTGCAACAAAAACAAAAATAGATAAGTGGGACCTAATTAAACTAAAGAGTTTCTACACAGCAAAAGGAAGTATCAAAAGAATAAACAGCCTACAGAATGGGAGAAAATATTTGAAAATGATGCATCTAAAAAAGGTCAAATATCCAGAATCTATAAAGAACTTAAACAAATCAACCAGCAACAAACAACTGTATTAAAAAAACGGGCAAAGGGCATAAACAGACACTTCTCAAAAGAAGACATACATGCAGCCAACAGACATGAAAAAATGCTCAAAGCAGTTATCATTAGAGAAATGCAAATCAAAACCACAATGAAATCCCATCTCAAGAAAGACAGAATGGCTATTATTAAAAAGTCAGAAAATAACAGATGTTGGCAAGGTTGTGGAGAAAAGGGAACACTGACACACTACTGATGGGAACGTAAATTAGTTCAGCCACTGTGGAAAGCAGTTTGGAGGTTTCTCAAAGAACTTAAAACAGAACTACCATCTGACCTAGCAATCCCATTACTAGGTGTATACCCAAAGGAATATAAATTGTTCTACCAAAAAGACATATGCATTCATATGTTCACTGCAACACTATTCAAAATAGCAAATACAGGGAATCAACCTAGGTGCTCATCAGTGGCGGACTGGACAAAGAAAATGTGGTACATACACACCAGGGAGTGCTACACAGCCATAAAAAAGAATGCAGTCATGTCCTTTGCAGCAACACGGATGGAGCTGGAGGTTATTATCCTAGGCAAATTAACACAGGAACAGAAAACCAAATAGTGTATGTTCTCAGTTATTAGTGGGAGCTAAACACTGAGTACACATGGACACAAAAAGAGGAACAATAGACATCGGGGCCTACTTGAAGGCAGAGGGTGGGAAGAAGGGTGAGGGTTAAAAAATTACCTATTGGGCACTGTGCTCCCTACCTGGGTAATGAAATCATTTGTCTGCCAAACCCCAGCAACATGCAGTTTACACATATAACAAACCTGCACATATATCCCTTAAACCTAAAATGAGATTTAAAAAAAACCCAAAACACAGTCAACACATTGTTTTGTGCAAAAATTACTTAAAATATTGTATAAAATTATCTTCATGTTTTGTGTATAAAGTGTATATGAAACATAAGTGACTTCCATATTTACGCTTGGTATCTTACTAGGTATCTGCGGATATTCCAAAATCCAAAACAATCCAAATTCTGACACACTTCTCCTAAACATTTCAGTTAAGGGATATTCAACCTGTACCAGTTTTCCTTCCTACTAGAAATATATGAAATTATGAGGATGTCTTCTCACCCCTTCCCCTTCTGTAAGGCACCTTTGCCAGCTCAACAAATGATCGGTCTTAATTCATTAAATAGGCCAAAAATAAGATGTTTTTATAATTCAGTGATTACTAGATTAGTAGTAATATGGTCAGCCCAAATTTTAAGGAATTAACTAAAGAGACATTATGGAAGCCAATCACTGTCTTGTGTATTTCAGCACTAGGAAGTGAGGTTGACCTCACTTTTTATTTGAGCCTCATTGCCATTTCCAGACGTTATTCCTCACTGTCATTTATTGCCTTGATTTTGGTTTTCTGTTTATTGCACTCTCATCTCATACCTGTTTTAATCTTCTGCTGACCTTCAGGGTGCTGCTGCATCATATTCTTAGAGACATTTCCTCTCCTCCCCATCCCCTGATGTTACACTAGGCAACATGGGTCTTCTCTTTTTTAACACACTCTGTCCTCAATTCGCTGCAAACAGTGCTCCATAGACCCCTTAATCAGCTGGAAATTCTTCACCTCTGAATCCCCAAGTCTGAACTTCTCTCTGCAAATCATGGTTTCATATTTTTATGGCTCTCCCACTGACACCAAATTTCTTTGTCATCCTAATGTTATTTCCAAGTATTCCATCCACTTCCCAGAGTTCCTTTTTCAGCTCCTTCTGTGTGTCTCTTGCTTTCCTGCCCAGCCTGTGCTCTGTGATGTACCATTTAACTATGATGTGATAGACACCACTTACCTGTTTATCCTTTCGAACTTCTACATACTTCCCTGGGAAGTTGCTGGCCTTGGGCAACCCAAAACATCTATTTTCTCTGCTTCAGTTCTCCAGCTGTTATGTGATCATGGACAAAATCACATGCCAGCCGAGCTCTATGTCCTTGGAATCTAGCAGTGTGTGGTTTCTCCTTTATTATTTGGAATTCACAGAAACTAACAGTCTTAAAATAAAAATTGACAGAAAATGAGCCTAATGCATTTTAGTTTATGGAGCCTGAGACAGTTATGCTTTGTCCCAGGAACTTCCACCTGGGTTCCTTTCTCACCTCATATGTGAGCCTTCGCTCCCCTAAGATGAATTAATCTTAACCATCCTCAGGACTTCCCTTTTAGACATCTTGCTACTTTTGAGGCCAAGGCCAGAAGAATCAGATCCTTCTGTGATGTTTTAATATTGTATCTGAGATGTGATATTTTGGGCTCCTGACCCCTGCCTAAAATGATTTTTGGCCTTCCCTGTCCAGGCTTAGCAGCTGAGCCATATTTCCCCAACCAAGATGGAGAGGGTTTAAATTATACAGCTTGGATTACAGTCTTTATTACAGAAATAAACAGAATGACTGGCCTCTTATCTGTTTAGGCGAAGGTGGAATGCATTATGATGAAAGTTGTAGCTTTTGCTAGGAAGACTAATTTCAGAACTGATTTGCTAGGAGGGAGAACATTGTAAATGTTCCCCCTGCCTTGGTGAGGATTGGCCTCAGTAGTGAATAGGGCTGAGGCAGTCCTAGGTAACTACATTAGCTTCCCACTACCTGGAGATAAAGCTCAGACCCCTTGGTGTTACATCCAGGGCCCTCCATGAACTAGTACAATCTACGTTTCAAGCTTGATCTCACATCAGTTTTACGCTGTGGCCAGCCATACTGATCTTGCTATCCCCCAATAGTCCATACGCCTTCTTTTCTCTAAGTTGCGTGTATGTCTTACAAAAGTAAGACGTGATACTTAGAAAAGTTTGGAACAATATAGGGAAGTAGAAATGAGAAAAATCCTTTGATTGGCTACTGAGATAAAACTCCTAGTAACATTTTATTATGTGTGTTTTTTATCTCCCTTGCAAATGGCATTATTTTTGTTTCTTGTTTTTCCATAGTCTTTCATCCTCCTTTTTAAAAACTAAACATTACGTAAGCATTTATTTTTTATTTCCATAGGTTTTGGGGGAACAGGTGGTGTTTGGTTACATGAATAAGTTCTTTAGTGGTGATTTCTGGAATCTTGGTGCACCCATCACCCGAGCAGTATACACTGTACCCAATGTGTAGCCTTTTATCCCTCACCCCCCCACCCTTTCCCCTCGAGTCCCCAAAGTCCGTTGTATTATTCTTATGCCTTTGTGTCCTCATAGCTTAGTTCTCACTTATGAGTGAGAACATGTGATGTTTGGTTTTCCATTCCCGAGTTACTTCACTTAGAATAATTGGCTCCAATTCCATCCAGGTCGCTGCAAATGACATTATTTCATTCCTTTTTATGGCTGAGTAGTATATGTATTTTATATATATCACAATTTCTTTATCCACTTCTTGATTGATGGGCATTTGTGCTGATTCCATATTTTTGCAATTGTGAATTGTGCTGCTGTAAACATGCATGTGCAAATATCTTTTTTATATAATGACTTCTTTTCCTCTTGGTAGATACCTAGTAGTGGGAAAATAAAATACTTAGGAATATACCTAACCAAGGAGATAAAAGACCTCTACAAGGAAAACTACAAAGCACTACTGAAAGAAATCATAAATGACACTGACAAATGGAAACACATCCCATGCTCATGGATGGGTAGAATCAATATTGTGAAAATGACCATATTGCCAAAAGCAATCTACAAATCAATGAAATTCCCATCAGAATACTACCATCATTCTTCACAGAACTAGAAAAAACAATCCTGAAATTCATATGGAGCCAAAAAAGAATCCACATAGCCAAAGCGCAAGACTAAGCCAAAAGAACAAATCTGCAGGCATCACATTACCTGACTTCACACTATACTATTAGGGCATAGTCACCAAAGCAGCATGGTACTGGTATGAAAATAGGCACACAAACCGAAGGAACAGAATAGAGAACCCAGAAATAAAGCCAAATATTTACAGCCAACTGATCTTCGATAAACAAAAACATAAAGTGGGGAAAGGACACCCTTTTAAACAAATGGTGCTGATATAATTGGCAAGCCACATGGAGAAGAATGAAACTGGATTTTCATCTCTCACATTATACAAAATCATCTCAAGATGGATCAAGGACTTAAATCTAAGACCTAAAACCGTAAAAATTCTAGAAGATAACATCAGAAAAACCCTTCTAGACATTGGCTTAGGCAAAGAGTTCAAGACCAAGAACCCAGAAGCAAATGCAACAAAAGCAAAGATAAATAAATAAATTTATTTTTTATATTTATTTATTTTATAAATAGATGAGACTTAATTAAACTAAAAAGCTTCTGCACAGCAAAAGAAGTAATCAGCAGAGTTGATAGACAACCCAGAGAGTGGGAGAAAATCTTCGCTATCTATACATCTGACAAAGGACTAATATCCAGAATCTACAAGGAACTCCAACAAATTAGTAATAATAATCCCATCAAAAAGTGGGCTAAGGACATTAATAGACAGTTCTCAAAAGAAGATATACAAATGGCCAACAAACATATGAAGAAATGCTCAACATCACTAATGATCATGGAAATGCAAATCAAAACCACAGTGTGATACCACCTTACTCTTGCAAGAATGGTCATAATCAAAAAATCAAAAAATAATAGATGTTGGCAGGGATGTGGTGAACAGGGAACACTTTTACACTGCTGGTGGGAATGTAAACTAGTACAACCACTATAGGAAACTGGAGATTCCTTAAAGGGCATTTTCTGTATTTATAAAATTCATAATCATTTTAAATGATGGCATAGGATTTTACTGAATGCATTTGCTACCTCCTATTCATAGTGTTCTCGAAGCCTAAAACACCCATCCAGAAAAATGTGTTCAGATGTTACTCCCTTCCCCCAAACAGAATTAAGTGCCCTTATCTCTGTGTTCTTGCAGCACAAACTTGTACCTCTATCTAGGTCTAATTTCATTCTGTATTTGGTTAATATATCTATGCACTTATACATGCACAAAAAATATACAGGATTATAAACTTCTCGAGGGTAGGTACTAAATCTTAACTTTTTAAGATATCTACCACCTGGATTAGGCTCTTAAATACTGTGAAATAATAAAATATTTTTTATCTCTGTTGCGCAAATTTTTTAATGTAATTTATGTGTAATACTATCTATACATGGCATTGTTCTTGAATAGTGCCAATTAATACTTAATTTCTATCCATCATGTGACTAAGGATCTTAAAGTAATGTGTCAATGGTAAGCAACAGTATTTGGTTTCCGTTGTAACGCATTACCACAAACCTATAAAACAATAACTGCTTGTCATTCTAGAAGGCTTTCCAAGATGCCAAATCCTGTACCACACAGTGCCTTTTTTCCAAAGCAGACAATCAAGTGTCTTTTTTCTTCTGTGAAAGAAAAATGATATAAATGAAATAATTGAAATAATGGTAGAAAGTACGCCTCCTTGTTTGTGAAGTAGGGATAGCAGGAACTTCCATGTTCCTTGTTGCAAGAACAATGAAACACAGTGTGGCCTCAGCTCAGGAAGGTGAAACTGGAAGTTCTGATTTCACATCTTTCAGATTCTCTTTTGGATGTCTGGGGTAATAAAGTGAATGTAATTTATTCTTTGAATAAACCCTCGGTACTTACTGTGGGGCTGGGCATGGTGGCTCATGCCTATATTCCCAGCACTTTGGGAGGCTGAGGATCGCTTGAGCCCAGGAGTTTGAGACCAGCCTGGTCAACACAGCGAAATCCTTACAGAAATTTTTTTTAAAAAATCAAATGGGTATGGTGGTACGTGCCTGTAGTCCCAGCTACTTGGGAGACTGAGATAGGAATATCGCTTGAGCCCAGGAGGCAGAGGTTGCAGTGAGCCATGATTGCACCGCTGCACTCCAGTATGGGCAACAAAGCAAGACCTTGTCTCAAAAACAAACAAAAACTTACTCTGTGTCAGGCACTGTGCCAGGATTTAGGGATAAAGATAAAGAAGTCTGCTGTGGTCCTCAAAGGCTTTGCAGTATTGGAACATATAGCCTTATGGAGGATCTCATAAACCTTTCCTCTGCCACTTCTGTTTATTCCATGAACTGAACACCATTTGGAATCTGGAGGAGCAGGATCTTAATGAAGCAATAAATTCAAGCAAATTAGCTGGGTGTGGTGGGTGTGCCTGTAGTCCCAGCTACTTAGGAGGCTGAGGTGGGAGGATGGCTTGAGCCCAGGAGGTGGAGTTTGCAGTGAGCTGAGATTGTGCCGCTGCACTCCAGCCTGGGTGACAGAGTGAGACCCTATTTAAAAAAAAAAAAAAAAAAAAAGTACTAGCAGCAGTAAAATGTAAAAGAGAAGGAATTTAGCACTGAGAAGGGCACAGCATCATTTTTGTGGTATTCTTGACAAATATGCACAATCTAAATTTAGTCATGAGGGAATATCAGACAAACTTAAGCTGGAGGACATTCTAGAAAATAACTTCCCAGTACCCTTCAAAAGTCTCAAGAAAGACAAAAGAAGCCTGAGGAACCATTACAGATGAAAGGAAACAAAGGACAGGTGGCAGGTGCTAAATGCATTGTGATCCTGGACCAGCAAAGGACATTAGGACAATTGACAAAATTTGTATAAGATCTGTCAATTAGATAATAATTGTGTATCACTGTTAATTTCCTGATCTTGATAATTATGCTGGGGTTAAGAATGACATTATCATTTGGGGAATATTATTGAAGGGTATATGGGAATTCTTTACACTATCTTTGCCAGCCTGAAATTATTTCAAGATAAAAAGGTTAACAGCTTTATAATTAAAAATAAAGCAACAACATTAACTCAATGTTGTTTTCCTGACACCTTAGGCATCTACAATGGCTCACCAACAATGTTGATGCATTTTTGCTGGGCTAGTTACTTAATTAGCATCAGTAACCTTCTGGTTTTCAAACAGATTTGTGTACATTTTCTTATTTGATTCTGAAACAAGCAAATGTGGTTTGCGGGAAATTTCTTCCATCTTAAAGAAATAGGGTTGGTTATGTTAAGTGATTTGTCCAAAAAAAAAAAAAAAAAAAAAACAGTACTAACAAGGTAGTGGTTAGATGGGACCACAAAGATTTTTCCGGGTTTGGACTCTCAGAAGTTAAGAATTAAAGGCCACTTTCATTTCTCAAGGAAGTAATTTAAACGTTTACACAGAATAAATTATTTTTAACCAAAAGTTATTTACAAGATAATGAAAATTTACACAAATTTTAAGATATAGCACACTATTGGCTACGAAAGTAGGTAATGGAACAAAAGTTTTAAACTTTTATGAAAAATGAAAGAAGCCATTTTGCCGTGGCTTCTGTGAATCTGTGTGTGCATGTGTGTATACCCAATGTGTATTCTCTTTCAACCACAATGCCAAATTCCAAATTTGAACCCATTTGTAACTATGAGCCTAAACCAAGTGGCTACTTGGCTTCCCTTGGTTATGACTTCCAAACGGCTGCTCATTTCCCGTAATTTATTTTCCTCCTTGAGGAATTGATACTAAATAGTAGACCTTTGAAATATTGCAAGATTGATTATCATCACCAGGGAGACAGACAGAGTGGAGTGAGATTTAATGCTAATCTCATTTTAAGTAAAATCACAAACTTTCTTTGTAAAAAGGCAATCACGATATCTTCGTTTAACCTAAATTCTGTATTATTTTATTGAGTGTTAAAGAACACATATTACATTCACCACTGAGAAGTCACTCAATTTGGCAAGGAAAGACAATATCAAAACATTAAGTCATATACTTCCAAAATGAGTTATATAAAAGCAGAGCTGAACTTCAATTCCTAACACATGGTCTCATCTTCTGCAGATGTATATGTGGAGGCAGAAAGTCAAGTAAACTGGAAAGTTAAAAATGAAATTTTTACTCCTTAAATTATGAGTCACCTACTAACAAAAATAAGAATCTGCAACATGGAGATTATTTCCAAAGAACAGATCCTTTCAGCTAAAACTAACTAGTCTCACTAACCCATATTTTCCTTTTGCTTACAGAAAGCCCTCTGTTTTGAATATACTTCTACTGACATAGAGTCAATGGAACATAGCTAATTATAAGGCAATACTCCCCACCCATTAATAAAGACCCTTAAAGCTTCAGATTTTTATTTTGTGAAGAGAAGATTATTCTGCCTGCCTAAAGATAATTCACATTCCTTATTTAAAGGTTAATAAGGAAGTAGGATAGAAACATGTGAAGATCATGCTTCCCAGAATGGGAGGCAAAAAAAAAAAAATCTTCGTTTTATTTCTGTCTCTGAACTTATGTGAGGGAAAGAATGTACTTGCAGAGTGTGTGTTGGAAGTAGGGGGAATGGTTGAGGGTCTGGTATTATATATTCCAGGGTATGCTGTGGTTTAACGGGAGTGAATTTTTCCTTTTGATTTGTCATTTGATGAAATAAATTCCCTGCACTTTTTCTGTGGAGACAGATGGTAATCTGTCATTCAAAATCCATTAGAATGAAGTCTAGGAGCTGAAGCCATATTTGATCTCATGTGGTAGGTGGTGATCCTGAACTGGTCCCATTTAGAGAATCCAGGCCTAGAAGTCTTGGGATGTTGTAGACTGGAAACTTAATTCCAAAGTGCCTCACGATCACTGGTAAAATTATTCTCCCCACTTCTTTATTGTGAGATCTATTATACCTGTGAAGATGGTAAAAATAATGTGTACTGTTTAAAGAAGAAAGATAAGACATTGATCTGTGAAAGAGGTAGAACATGAATTCCTTAGAAGTCCCTGTGTGTCCCTCATGGTCACACCCCCCTTTCTTTTCCCGAAGAGAACCACTGTTCTGACTTTTGTCTTAACTACCCCCTTGCTTTCTGTATAGGGAGATATCTCTATACAAAAAAAATTTCTAAAAAACCCAAATATTCCTAAAAATTGATTAGTTTTACTTTTTTTTTAGTTTACTTGTTTTTGAACTTTATATAAATTTTTAAAAACATGCAATGTGTTTTTGACTGTGACTTTTTTCCCTTCAGCATTATCGGTTTTTGTTGTTGTTGTTGTTGTTTGTTTTAGAAGACAGGGTCTCACTCTGTCACCCAGGCTGGAGTGCAGCACACTCACTGTAACCCTCAACTCCTGGACTCAGGCAATCCTCCCACCTCAGCCTCTTGAGTAGCTAAGACTATATGTGCACACCACCATGCTTGGCTAGTTTTAAAATTTTTTTGTAGAGACAGCATCTTGCTGTGTTGCCCAGGCTGGTCTCAAACTTCTGGCCTTACGTGATCCTCTTACCTTGGCCTTCCAAGTCTTCATGCTGGGATTACAGGCATGAGCCACTGCACCTGGCCAGCATTATGTTTTTTGATTCATCCATGTTGAGTATAGCTGGACTTCATTCATTTTTGCTGCTGTTAGTATTCCATTCAGTAACTAAGCAATGTACCCATTTTGCTGATGAAAATTTCAAGTTTCCAGTTTTCTCAGGTTTTCATTGTTGTTGTTCAATTACAAGCAATGTTGCTAATGCATTTCTTATACCTGTCAGCTAATACACAGTAAGAGTTTTCCATATACCTAGGAGGGGAATGCCAAGTCATATATTATATATGTGTTCACCTTTATTAGGTAATGCAAAAATGGTTTCCAAAGTGGCTGTAGCAACTTACATGCTTGCCAGCAGAGCATGAGCGTTTCCATTGCTCCTCATCCTCACCAACACTTGATATCATCAAATTTTTCAATTGTAGCCATCATATATTAGTATATCACTACAGTTTCCTTAGGATTTTCCTGGTTACCAATGAGATTGAGTATCTTTTCATCCATGTGTTGACAACTGGAATTTCTTTTATGAAGTGCCTATTCAAGTTATTTTATCCAGTTTTCTATTGAGAGTCATTGGTCTTTTTCTTATTGATTCAAAGCCATTCTTTATATAATCTGAATATTAACCCTTTGTTGTTTATATGTCTAACAAATATCTTTTCCCAGTTTGTGGCTTGTGGTTTCATTTTCTTTGTAGTGTCTTTCAATCAACATTAACTTAAAGATTGTCACATTTAACAATCTTTTCCTTTATTGTTTTTACATTTTATGTCTTGGGAATTTCTTTCTATGAAATAAAAATACTCTCCCTCCTTTAGAGTTTTCTTAGTCCATTGATGCTGCTATAACAAAACACCTTAGGCTGGGTAATTTAAAACAACAGGTAGTTATTTCTGACAATTCTAGAGGCTGGGAAGTCCAAGATCAAGGCACGGGCAACTTCATTGTCTGGTGAGGGCTGCTCCATCTGCTTCTACGATGGTATCTTCTTGCTGCATCCTCACTTGGCAGAAGAGGCAAAGGAATGGACGGGACAAACTTGTCCTCTCAGCCCTTTTACGGTGGCACTAATCCTGTCTATGAGGGTGGAGCATGCATGACCTAATCACCTCCTAGTGGCCCCACCTTTTAATATTGTTGAACTGGGAATTAAGTTTCCACATGAATTTCGGAGGAACACAAACATTCAAACCATAGCAAAAGTTTTCTGTATTCTGTTTTTATTTTTTAAATTTAGGTCTCAAATCCAACTGGATTTGTTTTTGTATTTGGTGTAACACAGGGAGTCCCGTTTCATCTTTTCCATAGAGAAAACCAATTGATCCCGGACCATTTATTAAAAAGTTATTTTTTTTCCCCACATTGATCTTTTACCACCTTTGATATTTAGCAGATGTCCATATATACATGTCTGGGCTCTTTGTTCTCTTCCATTCATCTGTCTATCCTCATACCAGTACTACACTGTCTTAATTACTGTGTCTTTACAAGTCTTGATATCTGATAGGACCAGTCTTCCCACCTTTTGCTTGGTTATTCATGACCCATTGTTCTTCTGTATACTGTTCACATAGTTGTATATTCCACTTGAAAGCTTCCACCAAAAAATTATGTATTTTGAGAGGAATTACACATCTATTTTAGGATAATTTACATCTTTAGTATATTGAAGCCTCCAATTCAAAAGCCTGGCATATCTTTCCATTTGTTTGGATCTTTTAAAATGTTTTAAATAAAGTTTTAGTTTTTCCCTAAAGACCTTATACATTTATTAGATTTATTCTTTAGATACTCTGTATTTTTGAGATTATTATAAATTCTATCTTTTAAATATCATTGTCTTACTATTTGTTACTTTGGATAGAAAGGCAATTGATTTTTACATATTGATTTATATACAGCCAACTTGCTATATCCTCTAACTTTAATGATTTATATGTTGATTATTTTGGATTTTCTATGTAGTCAATCATATCATTTCCCAATAAGAGCAAAACAATTTTATTTCTTAATTTTATATTTCATTTTCCTTTTTCTTGCCTTACCCTACTGTGAGCTCTTCTAATATAGAATTAAGGGTGTTCTTGTTTCTGATCTTAAAAAGAACACTTTCAATATTTCTTCACTAATATTTCTACATTTCCTGAGATGATTGTATAGTTTTTCATTTATCTGTTATTGTGGTAAATTATATTCATTAATTACTAATATGAAGGCACTCCTGCATCCCTAGGATGAAACTTAGTCATGATGGATGATTATTTTTATTCATTTCTGAATTTTGTTTGATAATGTTTTGTTAAGATTTTTGTATTTTTGTTTGTGAATGAGATTGGCCTGTAATTTTCCTTTTGTACTGTCCTTGTCAGGTTTTAATATCAAAATTATGTAAGCCTCCTTGACAAAGAAAAGTTGGGGGTCAGGGTAGTCCCTCTTTTTTTCATATAGTGGAATAGTTTGTGTAAGGAAGAATATAGGAATATTCAGGTTTTTATTTATTTTTGTTTCAATTTCGGTAAGTTAAAATTCTATAGAAAATGTTTCATTCCATCTAAATTTTTAAATATTTAGCATGATTTTTAATGGTATTTTATTATCTTTTAAATTTCTAGGGCATCTCAATTATGACCCCAAATTTTTTTTTTGTACATTTTTTTCTTTGAAAAATCTTGCCATAAAGTTGTTAGAGTTTACAATCATCTGGAAGAAACTTTGTTTAGCTTTTTAAATCTACACTCTTATATGTTTATATTCTATTTCATTATTTCTGGTCTTATGATTTTCTTTCTTCTAGTTCTTTGGATTTATTTTACTGATCTTTTTCTGATTTCTTAAATTATTTACTTATTATATTTCAATTTTTCTTTTTTTAAACATTGTTAAAATTTCATGCTAAGTAATGCTTATGCATTGTGTGACATTTTTATTAATACTTAATTACAAATATTTTGTCATTTTACATTTGAATTTCCTCTTGCCCCATGAATTATTTGTGGGTTTCTTAATTTACAAAGATATAGGGATTTTCTGGTTATCTTTTTGTTCCTGGCTTCCAACACAATTACACTGAAGTCAGAAAATGTTTTATGTATGATATCAATTTGTCAAAATCTTTGAGACTGGTTTTTGGTCCAATATATTGTCAGTCTTTATAAATGCTCCATAGTTGGCCAAAAACAATTAACACTGGTGTTTCAAGCTACTAGGCATAGTGCTCCATATATGTCTATTATATGAAGCTTGCTGATTGTGCCAGTTAAATCTTCCATATCATTATTTTTACTACTTGATCTATCAGTTACTGTTAAAGATGTGTTAAAAATCTTCCACTATTATTGTAGACTTATTACATTCTCCTTGTAAATATTGTTATATATTTTCAATCTGTGTTATTAGGTACAAATTGCTTTAAACTTTTTATATGCATTTTAATATGAGAAATATAGTTACAGATTCTCAAATTTAGACTATAGGTTATTTTGGTTCAGTTATTCTGATTTTTATATTTTGTAAAACATTTAATAAACCTCACTTGAGACAAAAAGGATTTTTTAAAATCACACTTAGCAATTCAGAGTTAAAAATATTGATATCTCTTGACCTTGTTAACCCATTTCTGGGATAGTGTCCAAAATAACCAGAAGTAGATAAAAAGCTTTATGTACCAAAGTATGTATTTGTACTGGCAAATAAAATAAAATTAAATGTAGGTTCTAACAATAGGAGAGTGGTTAAATAACTGGACACAGCTACATGACAGTGTATTATACATCCATTAGAGTCATTTATAAAGAATTTGTAATAAAACTGGAAAGTTATTATGTCACAATGACACATAAATCTGATGACAGTCGGCCCCTCTTACCCATGGCGGATACATTCTGAGACTCCCCAGTGGATGCCTGAAACTGCGGATAATACCAAGCTCTACATTTATGAATTTTTCCTATACATACATACCTATGATAAAAGTTTAATTTATAAATTCAGCATAGTAAGAGATTAACTACAATAATTAATAATAAGGTAGAACAATTATAACAATATGCCAGCATCATTACTCTTGTGCTTTGAGGCCACTATTAAGCAAAATAAGGGTTCTTTGAACACCAGCACTGTGGTACTGCAACAGTGGATCTAATAACCGAACCAGCTACTAAGTGACTCGCGGGCAGGTGACATATGCAGCGTGGATATGCTGGACAGAGGGATGACTGTGGTGTGAGATTTCATCCTGCTACTCAGAACCGTGTGCAGTTGATAACTTATGAATGATTTATTTCTGGAATTTTCCATTTAATATTTTCAGACCAAAGTTGACCACGGGTAACTGAAACCACAGAAGGCAAAACTGCAGATAAGAGGGGACTACTGTATACTGTATGATTTCAATTACCTTAATGATAACTATAGAAAAAAATTCTCAGAAGAAATATCTCAAAAGGATTGTAACATTGGTTTGTGTAACATTGGGAAAAAATTTGGATTTCCCCCTTCCTTTCTATTTTTCTGTGTTTTCTGTGTTTTCTACCATATTCAAATTTCTTTTACAATATAGGGGGAAAGCCTTAAAAACATGGACTAACAAATGCTTATTTAATTAATACTTGAGTGTACACAATTAGTCTTTCATTCTGTGTTATGTTGGTTTTGGCTGGTATATATATTTAAAATGTGTCTATATATATATAATGTGTGTATATATATAATGTGTATATATAGATATAATGTGTGTGTGTGTGTGTATATATATATATATGTATACACATTTTTTTTGAGAGGGAGTCTCGCTCTGTTGCCCAGGCTGGAGTACAGTAGCATGATCTCAGCTCACTGCAACCTCTGCCTCCCAGGTTCAAGGAATTCTCCTGCCTCAGCCACCCAAGTAGCTGGGATTACAGATGCCCACATTGTGCCTGGCTAATTTCTGTACTTTAATAGAGATGGGGTTTTGCTGTGTTGGCCAGACTGGTCTTGATCTCCTGACCTCAGGTGATCCACCCGCCTCAGCCTTACAAAGTGCTGGGATTACAGGCATGAGCCACAGCGCCTGGCCTTAGCTGGTATTTTTTAAATATCAAGATAGAAAAGTCATTTAAAATGTGTGATATGGATATGTACAAAGTAAAAGTTAATGTTTAAAATAAATGTCTTGTTGTACTCTGCTGCCCATAGGTAAAGTGTTGAGAGAGGAGAACCAGTGCATTGCTCCTGTGGTTTCCAGCCGCGTGAGTCCAGGGACAAGACCAACAGCTATGGGGTCTTTCAGCTCACACATGACAGAGTTTCCACGAAAACGCAAAGGAAGTGATTCAGACCCATCCCAGTAAGTGAATTTGGTCCTCTAACCCAGTGAGATCTTTGACTTTAGGGAGAAGAGGAAAATATTCCTTTTAAAATCATTAATTATTTCCAAGTTCATGGTAACATTTGGAGATGGGAGAGTACTTATCCACCCATCTGCTACCTTTGTCGGTGACTGACTTGGAACTTTTCCATCCAGCTCTGAAGAAAGGTGTCTAGGAGGGTCAGCTGGAGTCAGAAAGAGACATAGGAACATGAGTTTTATTTGGTTAATGTTTATGGTCATGGCAAGATACTTGCCTTCCTTATTGAAATACTTATAAACATGAGGAAAACACCTTGGATGTTTGATTTAAAATAATAATGACTACTTCTCACCTTACTCGTCATGTATAGAATAACCAACCCTTGGTTATCTGTGGTCAGTTTAATCATATAAAATTCGTGCTTTCCCTATTTATTAAGTCAAATTGATAATAAAGTCAATGTTGAGAATGCCCACTATCTCCCTATTTATTTTTGTTACCCCTGCAGCTTCAGTCCTAAATATTCTTTAATGACTTCCCCAAAGCTAGAGTTTATATGGTGAAAACATCAGGGCAAGCCAGGTGCAGTGGCACACGCCTGCAGTACTAGCTACGCAGGCGGCTGAGGTAGGTTCGTTTGAGCCCAGATGTTTGAGACCCGCAAGACCCCATCTCTAAATAAATAGGTATAAAATTTAGAAAACATTAAGTAAAAGTAAAGATAGCCATCTATAGCAACTCATCGTAGGCTGGTACTTTACATAAATGTGAGAGTTGATGACAGTTATCCATCATGAATGAAAGGAAAAATCCTGAGTTGGGAGTTGGAGGTCAAGATAAGGACATAATAAAACATCCTAGCTCTTTTTTTTTCTTTTTTGGTGGGGGGGGTGGTATTCAGCTCTTTATTTACAAAGTGGGCACATGCTAGCTCTTTTTAACTCAGTTCTTCCCAATACACTTTATAATTTAGCTTCAGTTCCCAAGGCAGTAAATACTAAAGCACTTCCCACGCCACATATAAATGATTGGAAGGTTTTCTACTGTTTTTGGTTGTCTCTATTCCCTTAGTCTCTTCCATTAACATGGATGCTTCTGAAAACTATAGTTGATGAAGTGACAGTCTTTTTAGACTATGTAGCTGTTTTCCATTCTAAATTATCAGTCAGTAGCTCCCACTTATCTTGAACTGAAAGTGACTGTTAGTTCTTTTTATTTTCTTCCTTATTCTTCAGAATCATAGGCACCATTGTTCTTTCTTGGTGTCTAAATATGATTTTAGCAATTGAAGTAGAAACAGTGAATATAGAGGTAGCCCAGCTTCATGCCACATGGAGGGCACAGATGAGACCTTGCAGTGGTTTGGGGGTGAAATGGAAAGTGGAGTCAGTGCTAGCAAAAATATAAGAAACATGCGAAGTACTGACAGTATGGCATTTTTTTGTCAGCAAGCAACACTGAAGATTATTTAGGTAACTACTCACATTTTAGAAAAGGAAGAAGCTAGAACTCAGAAATGTCAAGCAGTTTGCCCAGCATCACACAGCTTGTTAGAATGCCTGATTCCAGATGTGGTATTTTCTCCACTTCACCCAGCTTCCTATCACTGGGTAGCTGGACACAGTAGGCTACTTTCTCCACTTGAGGACAGGCTTGCTGTCCATTCCCAGAACATCTGGGTAGGGGGTGACCCAAGGCCTCCTTCCTTCCAGGTCAGGAATCATGACAGAAAAAGTGGTGGAAAAGCTTTCTCAGAATCCCCTTACCTATCTTCTTTCAACAAGGATAGAAATATCAGCCTCCAGTGGCAGCAGGTAAGTCCTGGACTGTCTTTGACATACTCTCTCCCCTACTTGAAGAGGGCATAGAGTGGCAGTGAAAACATGATACACGTCCCACTGATTTGCTCATCATCTATCCCAGAGCTTCTCCTTCCTGCCCCAATCCTTCCTTTATCCTACCAGATTCTATTCCCTTTAATGAAATTATGGATGTCAAAGTACGTGGTGCTGACTATATAGTGTCTTTCCCCAGGACTCAGTGCAGGAAAGCCAGTCAATAGGTGAGAGGCTGATTTCACTCACATAGCCTCAGAGTGCTGGATCTTTTTAAAAAGGAAAAATATATGAGAATGTCCACCCTTTCTGTGGCACTGTTGGTTTTGAATGGAGAGCTGGTTCTTTTTTGTTTTTTGTTTTCTGTTTTTTGAGACAGAGTCTCACTCTGTCGCCAGGCTGGAGTGCAAATGGCGCAATCTCGGCTCACTGCAACCTCCGCCTCCTGGGTTCAAGTGATTCTTCTGCCTCAGCCTCCCGAGTAGCTGGGACTACAGGCACCCGCCGACACACCCGGCTAATTTTTGTATTTTTAGTAGAGATGAGGTTTCACCATGTTGGCCAGGATGGTCTCAATCTCTTGACCTCGTGATCCACCCACCTTGGCCTCCCAAAGTGCTGGGATTATAGGCATAAGCCACCGCACCCGGCTGGAGAGCTGGTTCTTTAGAAGGGTCTTTGATGAATCTGTGGAATGTAGTCATTAAACATTTATTGGGTTGCTACTATGTGACAGTTAGTAGACTAGGAGAGACAGAGACACAAAGGTACGAGAAACTTGTGCAAGTGGAAAAGATACAAACAATTATTTTACATCATCATAACTGCTATAATAGAGACCCTGGGTACTATGTCAGCAAATAAAGTTGGGCATTTAAATAAGATTTAAATGCTTCCTGGAAAAGTTGACTTAAGCTAAGTTTTAAATGAAGAATAGAAATGAGTCTACAGCCAGGTATGATGGCGTATGCCTGTAATCCCAGCACTTTGGGAGGCAGAGGCGGGAAGATCTCTTGAGCCCAGAAGTTCGAGGCTGCAGTGAGCTATGGTCACGCCACTGCATTCCAGCCTGGGTGACAAGAGTGAGGCCCTATCAATATAAAAATACATTTAAAAACAGGAGAGAAGAAGAGAGTCTACAGAGCAGGAATGGAGAAGATATTTTAGGTGGAAAGAACAACCGTGCAGGCATACAGGTATGTAGTTGCATACTCCTGATCAGGAAATGAGTGGTTGTCACCATAGAGCAGAGGGTGCACTTAGAGGGGGGTGAGCTATGAGAGTTGAGGGATAAACACGAACTAAGTCATGAAAGATCTGCTGAACTGAAGAATCTGAAAACTATCTTGAATGCAGTAGGAAAACTGAAGAATTCTAAGCATGAGAAGAACTTGATCAGATTTATATTTTTTAAAGAATTCATTGCCTCTGCACTTTTTCACTTTTTTATTATGGTAAATACATACACACACACACACACATATATATATAAATAACATGAAATTTGCCATTTGAACCACTATTAAGTGTACAATTAATTGGCATCAATTACATTCAGTATTGTAGACCATCACCTCTATTTCTAAAACTTTTAAATCACCCCAAAGAAGAACTCTGTGTCCATAAACAATAGCATTCCCATTCTCCTCTCTCCTGATCCCCTGCTAACCTCTAGTATATTTTCTGGCTCTATGAATTTGCTTATTCTAGCAAATTGCCACTATTTCACGTAAGTGGGAGTCCAAGGTGGGTGGACTGCCTGAGCTTAGGAGTTTGCAACCAGCCTGGGCAACATGGTGAAACCCCATCTCTACTAAAAATACAAAAAAATTAGCCAGGCATGGCGGCATGCGCCTGTAGTCCCAGCTACTTGAGAGGCTGAGGCAGGAGAATTGCTTGAACCTAGGAAGTGGAGGTTGCAGTGAGCCAAGGTCGTGCCACTGCACTCCAGCCTGGGTGACAGAGAGAGACTCTATCTCAAAAAAAAAAAAAAAAAGGTGGAATTATATGATGTTTGTTCTTTTGTGTCTGACTTATTTCACTTAGCATAATGTCTTCAAGTTTCATCCATATTATAGTATGTGTCAGAATTTCATTCCTGTTTATGGCTGAATAATATTCCACTGTGTGTATACACCATATTTGATTTATCCAGTCCTCTGTTGATGGGTTATTTCCACTTTTTGGCTATTGTGAGTAATGCTACTATGAACATTGATGTACAAATACCCGTTTTAGTCCTTGCTTTCCATTCTTTCAGATACATGCCTAGGAGAGAGTTGCTGGGTTATATGAGAATTCTGTTTAGTTTTTGAGGAACTGCTATACTGTTTTCCACAGTGGCTGTATCATGTTACATTCCCATGAGTAGTGTACAAGAGTTCCATTTTCTTCATCCTCACTGATACTTATTATTATTTTTTTTTATTTTTTATTTTTTGAGACGGAGTCTCGCTGTGTCACCCAGGCTGGAGTGCAGTGGCGTGATCTCGGCTCACTGCAAGCTCTGCCTCCTGAGTTCACGCCATTCTCCTACCTCAGCCTCCCAAGTAGCTGGGACTACAGGCGCCCACCACCACACCTGGCTAATTTTTTGTATTATTAGTAGAGACGGGATTTGACCGTATTAGCCAGGATGGTCTCGATCTCCTGACCTCGTGATCTGCCCACCTCGGCCTCCCAAAGTGCTGGGATTACAGGCGTGAGCCACTGCGCCCAGCCAATACTTATTATTTTCAATTGCTTGATTATAGCCATCCTGGTAGGAGGGAGTGGTACAGTCTTACAATTTTCAAAGAATCACCCTGGAAACAGCATGGAGGATGAGCTGAAAGAAGAAGACCCAGCAGGCAGAGAGAACAACAGAGAATAGCTTTTGCCAAGGACGAGGTTTTCTGAGCATCGATCAAAGAGAGTGGCCCTGGACAGGAAGGGCAGGGAAAGGAAGGGACATATGACACACTTAGAAGATAGGATCAATAGGACTTCATGATTGTTCACTGGGGAGAGGATATAAAGTGTGCCCACGTTTTCTGACTTGGGCTCCTAGATGGAGGGTGGTATTTTCATTCACTTAGATTGAGGCAAAAATGATGAGTTCAGTTCTGGACACACTAAGAATGGGATATTTATAGAACCTTCAAACAGGAAGTTGGAAATGAGGATTTGGAGCTCAGGGTAGAGGCCTGGCCTGGAGTTAGAGACTCAGACATCATTAATGCACAAAAAGTACTTGAACTGATGATGTGGGTGCCATCACTGGGAGAAGCTGATGGAGTGGGGAGACTGGGGGCTGAGGATATACTCTGGGGGTGCTGACCTAAAGATAGTACAAGATGAGGGGAAGCCTGCCCAGAATATGTGAAGGCATGGCTCTGAAGTGGGAGCGGCACACAGAAATCAAAGGAAGCACGTTCCAAAAAGAGGAATGCCTGAAAAATGGCAGATCTGGGGAATATTTTGAGATTGCATCTGCGTCTAACTTTGTCTTTGGTTGATTTAGAAAGAATGCCTACATTTCATTCAAAATGCAGTGAAAATAGTTTTCAAGAAAACTGCATTGTATTTTGAAATTCTATTACTGTAATGTAAGGTTCTACACTAAGAAAATGTAGCCCAGTAATGTGACCATTATTAATATCAGAAAGCTTATTAAAACACATTTGTAAAAATTTGTAAAATATTAGGATTATAGACCAAATTTACTAACTATCTAGATTTGTGCTACAAACAAAGAAATGAATTGTTTGACTAAGAAGATCTTGCCTTTGTTCTATTCTGCCAGGGGCCATTAAATAGAAGGGTATTTGCATTTAGTAAGTACAGTACATTTGAATTTCACCAAGGAGGCAAATTCACTCAGTGAGTTCATTTGCTAAAATGCCAATGATCAAAGCAAAGACATGATTTTAAAAGGTCAAAGTTTACCTTTTGAAATTGAAGTAATGTATATATACATACATATATATAGTCAGTCCTTCATATCCATGGGCAACCAACCAAAAGTTGAAAATATCCAGAAAAAAAAAAGCAAGTCTGTATTGGACATATCCAAACTAATTTTTCTTGTTATTATTCTCTAAACAATACCATATAACAACAATTTACATAGCATTTACATTTATTAGGTATTGTAAGTAATCTAGAGATGATTTAAAGTATATGGGAGGATGTGCATAGGTTGTATGCAAATACTGTGAAGAGACTTGAACATCCACAGGTTTTGGTATCTGCAGAAGGCTCTGGAGCCAGTCCCCCATGGATGCTGAGGGACAATTATATATAATTCCAGACTATTAGGAAGAAAATTATTCATCTGTATAATTGTTTTCTGATTATTCCTTTAAGATGGCTAAAAAGAGAAAAGGGAAAAGAAGCTGACTTAATCTGACCCTCTCTTTTGCCTCAGAGAGGCTGTTTAATTTTATTTGTACCAACCACACAACAGGCTGACGGTGGTGAGAGAAATGGCCAGGTATGGTGGAAGGCGCACCAGCCTGCATTGAGTAGTCTTCACTTGGCCTCCACTGGTTATAGGACCTTGCACAGTCATTAACTTTACTCAACTCCTTCATCTGTAAAATGGGGGTAGTAATAACTTCACCACTGTGCTGTGAGAATCAAGTGTGGAAATATTTTTGATAAAGTACCATAAATATAAAAGCTCTTCTTGATTGAAACTGTGAAGAGGAAAAGCACCACTTGATTAAGCATTTGTCTTCGTGGTCTTTTTTATTTGGAATATTTATAAGCATCTATTTATAAATTTGATTAAATTTTCTATAAGTGTTATCTTTTTTTAAGTAGAAAAATACTAAAACCTCAAAAGAGTTCAACTGAATAAGACAGTTCTAAAGTAGGCCAGCCTTTCTTCAAAGCCTGAAAAATATTCATTGTTAAAAATCTGTAAAGAGGGAAATTTGTTAAGATGAATCAGAAGCTTTAAAATATTTATCCATAAATTGTACTTCTAGGAATTTATCCTAGAGTATAATTCAAGATGCACACACCACAATATTATTAGCCATATTATTTATGATATTGAAAATATTAGAATGTTGAAATATCCAACAATAACAAATGAATAAATTATAACTAATCAGTGGGCTACTATTTAATCATTTCAAATTATGTTATCCAAGAATATTTGAAACTACGCAGAAATATTCATGTTAGAGTGTTAAATGAATAAGACAAGACATGAAAATTATATACTATGATCTGAGTTTTATTTATTATACATGTAGAACACACAGAAATATCTACATGGTACCCATGCACCATGGCTAAGCTAAATAATCATTGTATGTATCTACATGTTTAGGAAATGCTGGAAGGAGACACATTAGAATATTAACTGTGATTACTTCCAGGTGGCATTATGGGTGCTTTTCCTGGAATTTTTCAAATCTCCCACAAAACGATACATTTGGAAATAAATCTTTTAAGATTACATATTTTTAAAAGCTATGCAGCCTGCATGATTTTTAAATGCTGACAGTCTTCTATCACTACCAACGTATTTCATTTTAGTAATCGTCTGCTGAGTACATTTCTGATGCTAGGAACTATACTAATGTGAAAATTAATATTATTGGTAAGAGTTTCCAGTTTTCAATATTGGTTACCATCCAGGTGGATTTTTAGGCAAAATAAATTCCTTTTGATTAAAGGTCTGGGATTCTTAATCCATTTTCAGGCTGTTTTAATACAGCTATCATAAAGTTTTTGGTTAAGCCATCAATGATGTTAATAACTTTAATGTTAATTCTATGAAAATCTTATTCTTGCTTAAGTTTGTCATGAGATCATATCTAATTATGTAAGTAGCACACTAATTATTGTTCACTGTCAGTTAACATAACTTTTGTTATCCTTATGGGAATGGTGTTGCCTGTCAGCGTTAGGAGGAGAATGGTTCATGTAGACAGTAAGAATCATTTCAGGTCATTAGGTGCTCAAGGGAGCATTTACAGCTAAGGATTTTATAGGAATTAGGATGATTGATTGGACTTAATCTCACATCTATTTCTCTATCAAGAACTACAGAAAAGGTACTTCATGTAGTTTGATATTTTATCCTGCTTTTTTGTAGAGTGGAAGATGGTGAACACCAAGTTAAAATGAAGGCCTTCAGGTACAATTGACTTGTTGAGATGGTACATGGTGAGTGGAAAGGTACACAAAGGCAAGCCTGTAGCCTAAGGCAAAGGTGACACCAAGGTAGAAGGGCTTGAAGATGAGGCTTTTCTCTCTTGTTATGCTCTGAGAAGCAATGTTATCAGGCACCTGATGTCTTGCTTTTCTGTCTACTTGGATAACATTTTGGCTTTCATGCCTTTAACTTTCTCTTAGAATAGCTTAAAAAAAAACCTATTATTTTCTTCAAGCACTAAAGAAAAATTGATCAATGACTTAAACAAATCAGTTACTTATGAGGGGCATCTGACTGTTAGAAACCCATCCTCGGCCTGGCGCAGTGGCTTACACCTGTAATCCCAGCACTTTGGGAGGCCGAGGCAGGTGGATCACGAGTTCAGGAGATCGAGACCATCCTGGCTAACACGGTGAAACCCCGTCTCTACTAAAAATACAAAAAATTAGCCGGGCGTGGTGGTGGGCACCTGTAGTCCCAGCTACTCGGGGGGACTGAGGCAGGAGAATGGCGTGAACTCGGGAGGCAGAGCTTGCAGTGAGCCGAAATCGCGCCACTGCACTCCAGCCTGGGCGACAGAGCAAAACTCCGTCTCAAAAAAAAAAAAAAAAAAAAAAAAGAAACCCATCCTCATGAGTTCTTTGTCAATTATTTCAACATATTTTTTCAACAACAACAATAAAATATTTTTCTACATCTGGCAACATCGCCTATCAGAGTTTTGCTTTTTCTCCACTTATTTTGTTTTCTGATAGGATTCTACAAAATACTGCCATGGTTCAACATGGCAGTAACTGTACACAGAATTAGGAGCCAGAGCTCTGATGAAGTATTAAGCAGAGAGCTAGCCTCTGGATAAATATGCCTTTCCTTAATGAAAGCCTCCAGAAACCTTTTCGGGTGTAGCTCTTTCAAGTAAAGTACTTTATTCAGACATTGGTTCTTTCACCTTGCCCTGGGTTTCCTGGCTCCCAGCATCATCATTGACCTTCTCCACAGTGGGCTTTCTCCCACCCTGCTCTCATCTCTCTCCAGATCCTGGCTCAGAGAGAGCACCCCTTCCTCTGCTGTACATCCTGGAGTCAGGAGTCTCTATCCATCGCTGCTGTCCATGCTGATGGGGAATACTGTTAGAAGAGATGATCCTTCTAGTGAGAGTGTAACTACAATATTCTTTTAATCATAACATTTTAATTTTAATCAAATTGCTCTGTAATCCCAGCTCCTTGGAAGGCAGAGGCAGAATAATCATTTGAGCCCAGAAGTTTGAGGCTGCAGTGAGCTATGATCATACAACTGCACTGCAACCTGGGCAACAGAGTGAGACCTTGTCTTTAAAAAGATAAAGAAAAAAATCTAATTGCTCACAAATAGAACAAAGTATGAGTAGATAACTGAATTTTATGTGAATACAATTTAATCTGAATCCTATCCACTTCGCCCAACAGTGTGTATTTTGTTCCAGGAGTGTCATTGCCGAGGGTGAATGGTTGGGGCAGGGGGTGTGGTAGCTCCCACAGCCTTCATCGGTGTTCCTCCCTACCCACCTCCCTACTCTTATCTGGAAAAATTACACTTTCTTTTATCCAATTTAAAGTCTTTATAAAAACAGATCAGGGAAGTCTCCCACTTACCCTCTTTCTCATCAGATTGCCCCTAAACTATTCTAATAGAGAAATTCTGGAGTTGCTGTGTGTTGTAGGAGAGGGATTTACAGCAAAGTGTGACAGGTAAAATCATGTAATTCTTGAAATCTAAGATACACTTTTCTCCTCTACGTTTTATCTTCTGTGGAAATTTCTTATCATCAGTGGCATCTTCCTGTCAATTGGCAGCATTTCTTTCTCTTGTGATGCTTTAAATAATAGTGCGTCTTACAATTGGTGGCTCTTAGATTTGATGAAATAAGGGTAGTGGTATGAAAGGTACTGAGGTAGCTTAGAGAGAGCAGTGATTAATCATGTAGTAGTCAGAGAAAGCTTCCCAGAAGAATAACTGAGTTGGATTTTGAAGAAAGAATAGGATTTCTCCAACAGTATAGTCAGAAAGGACTTTGTAAGCCTGGTAAAGAGCAAGGCATGGAGGAGATGTGAGACGGTATGGCATGTGTGAGGATGAGCAAGTCTTCAGGCGTTGCTGCTGTGGAACATTTGGAGCTGTCGGGGAAAGTCTTGAAGAGAGAAACTGGAGATGAAGACATGAGGCAGATCAGGGAGAACCCTGGCCTATAATTAGGGAATCTGGCTAGTCCTCTTGGGCAGTGGAAATGCAGTGAATAGTTTTATGCAAGGGGATTAGGTGACTGGATTTGTTTTACTACATAATTTTGGAAGTCATAGAATAGACTAGGAGAGGAAGGAACAGCAGTTTAAAAGGTTTTGGGGTAATGCAATGAGCCTAAATTAAGATGATGACAGAGGGGATGGAGAGGAAGAGAAGACATATTTAAGAAATATTTTAAGATCTAGAATTGACAGGAGTTTGTGATTCTTTGGCTTTTTAGGGTGAAGAGGAAGGGTCTAAACCAGGGGTATCCAATCGTTTGGTTTCCCTGGGTCACGTTGGAAGAAGAAAAATTGTCTTGGGCCACACATAAAATACACTAACACTAATGATAGCTAGTGAGCTAAAAAAAAAAAATCTCATAATGTTTTTGGAAAGTTTATGAATTTGTGTTGGGCTGCATTCAAAGCCATCCTGGAGCACAGTTTGGACAAGCTTAGTCTAGATTGAGTCTAGTTGTGTTACCTACCAAGATAAACCCTATAGAAGGAAGATAAACCCTATAAATCAGGAGTAGTACAGGAAGAATTGAAAATGGGGGTACATCGCAGAGAATGCATGCAGTTTGGGGTTTCTTGAATTTTAGATTTCTTGAGAATCATTTAGGTTTATAATTCTAGTTCCAAAGGTCAGGAACTGAGTGAAGTATGAATGAGATAGGGTTATAATAACAAATAGCTTATGAGTAGCTGTAAAGCCTTGTGAGGGAATGAGATCTCAGGGTGAATAAAGAGTGAGGAGAGAGCGGTGCTAAGCAGGGAATCTTAGTGCACACCAGTATTTAAGGATCAAGTAAGAGCTGGGTGAGGAGACGAGGGGACTGAACCGAGCAGGGAGAGTGGAGGAGGACCAGGAGGCAGAGAGGCTGTGGAGACCAGGGGAGAATGAGAAGTGTCAGCAGTGTCAGATTCAAGGCAGGGATCAGCAAGAGATCGCAAGAGAGAAGGAGGATCTTCGCTGGGACAGTTTTAGTGGGGCAGGGGTTGTGGAAGGTTAATGTTACAGATGGACAGATGCCTGGGAAATGAAAGATTGAGTGGAAATTGCACTCTTTCAGGGAGTTTGCTGAGGGGGGAAGACGGTAGCAAGAACAAAAAACAACTAGAATTAGTGAAAGGGTTTTTTTTTTCAGGGGGAAGATACTTGAGCACATTTATAGACCCATGATAAGGAGCTATAAAAATAATGAGGTTAAGATGCTGACAACTATTTATGCAAATACCAGAGAATAGTTAGCTTTGAACAGAAGGGCACCCATCTCTTCTCTAATATTGGAAACAGGTGGAAAAACCACCTGGGCTCTCAGACAGATGTCTTTGTTTTTAAATATTTCAGAAAATGAGGTAGGGAGGGACTGACCAAGGGCAGCGAGTTTTATGAATGCTGTTCCTGGTCTCAGCAGCGCTTTCCTCTTCCCTCACTGACAACTGCAGGGCCCAAGTGGGGAGGAAGAACAGTGTGTGCCTGCTGGGCTCAGCATCTGCTCCAGTGAGCAACACGGGGGTGACTGGGGGTCTGCTGAATGTTAAATATAAAGGAAGTTCCTTTTCCCTCTTAGAGAAGCTCATAGCCAAACTGAAAAGCGGAGGAGAGATAAAATGAATAACCTGATTGAAGAACTGTCTGCAATGATCCCTCAGTGCAACCCCATGGCGCGTAAACTGGACAAACTTACAGTTTTAAGAATGGCTGTTCAACACTTGAGATCTTTAAAAGGTGAGTTTGACGATGGCTTCCACACTTCGATAAGTGAAATCTGCTCTGTCACTGAGGTCTCTGATTGGTTCGCTTTGCTGTCAGCTGTTGAGGTTCTATCCAGATGTGTCTTTCAGCTTTAGAGGTATTCACTGGCATTTGTCTATAGTCTGTATGTGGAGAGAATACTGAATTGGATGTCAGAAAACTTGGTTCTGATAAAAGCTTTTTCTCAAGCTCACTATACAACCTTGAAAGGTATTTACATTTCTTCTTCACATATATTATGAAGAGAATATCACCTGCCTTTCATACCTCTCAATTCTTTAGAAGTTCTGAAGTTGAGCTGGGCGTGGTGGCTCATGCTTGTAATCCCCGTACTTTGGGAGGCTGAGGTGGGCGGATGGCTTGAGTCCAGATTTCGAAACAAGCCTGGGCAAAAAAATGCAAAAATTAGCCAAGTGTGGTCTTGCGTGCTTGTAGTCCCAGCTACCTGGGAGGCTGAGGTGGGAGGATCGCTTGAGCCTGGGAGGTGGAGGTTGCAGTGAGCAGTAATCATGCCACTGCACTCCAGCCTGGGTGACAGCCTGTCTCAGAAAAAAAAAAAAGTTCTGAAGTATAGTATTAATTATTAAGTTATTGAGAGATTTCTATCCTTCAAAAAGAAAACTTCCTTAAACTCTGCAGTTTCTCTTAAAGCTTCATTCAGATTTACGAGTAGTACCTTATAATGCATCACATGTTGCCATTCAGAGTATCCTCAAATATGTGAGACACTGGGGGAAGGAGGTCCTTGCCACTGCCTCTTGGTGTGTGGGTGATCATTTCTGGCTTTAGCAATTCCCCAACTTGAGCTTGAATTTTAAATCAAAGTGTAATAAATGTATATGTGTACCTGTGTATTAGTCCATTCTTGCATTGCTATGAAGGAATACCTGAGACTGGGTAATTTATAATGAAAAGAAGTTTAATTGGCTCCCGGTTCCACAGGCTGTGCAGGAAGCATGGTGGCTTCTGCTTCTGGGGAGGCCTCAGGGAGCTTTCACTCATGGCAGAAGGCAAAGTGGGAGCCGGCATCTTACATGGCAGGAGCAGGACCAAGAGAGGGTAGGGGAGGTGCCACACACTTTCAACAACCAGATCTCATGAGAACTCACTATTGTGACACAGTATCAAGGGGAAAATCCACAAGCATGATCCAGTCACCTCCCACCAGGCCCCACCTCCAGCACTGGGGATTATTATTCGACATGAGATTTGGGCGGGGACACAGAGCCAAACCATGTCAACATGTGCGGTAGAAATCACCCCTGTTTTGGGAATAGCCCCAGTCCAACTTGGGTGAAGTGGAATAGAGTTTTCGATTTACCAATGCCGATGATGTAAATTTGCACTGAAAAGATAAGACCTGGCCAAGCAGCAAGCTGAAGACTCCAGAGGAGACTCTGCAAGTTCAGATTTGTAAAGATCTAGAAGATTATAGTGAAATTTGGCTCAAAAATCATAAAAAGGGAGTGAGCAAAGGATGACCAAGGGTCTTAGTTTAGATCTCAAACACTGCCAGGAAAAGGAAAATATATTTCAGGGTAATGGAAATTATCTGGGCACCATGCAAGGTATGGTCAAGTCAAGTTAAGGTGGCTAAGAGGAGAGCAGCACTCACCTAGACTCCTGGTGCTTCCTGTTGGGAGCATGATGGGAGATCTTATTTTCATAACAGTCTGTTGTGAAATAAGCTTCTCTTTTACCCACAGCTGAGGCTTGCAATATTTTCCTTAAATCCTTCAGCAATGAAAATTTACAGGCTCAACTGAGGTCATTTGATTGCAACCCTGAAATTAGCTGAGTATTTTCACATTAGCAGTGTCCTAAGGGAGGAAGACCTAAGGGAAAAGCCATGAATCAGTCGACTAGTTCAACAAAACATGATCTGAGCATCAACCGCATTCCTGTTCTGTGCTGAGAATATAAAAATTAATGAGGCAAGATCTCTGCCCTTTAAGGGTTTGTGGTCTGACTAGGAAGACTGACTTAGGAAGAGATCGTCAGAGTCTGGTGCGATGAATGTTACAGCAGTGGTTCGAGTGAGAGGGGAGGCTGTGAAAGCTCAGCAGGGAGGAGGTGAGTCCAGAGGAGATTCCTTGGAACAGGGCGTAGATTTTGCCTCAGCTCTGCTGAACAGAAGTGACATGGTTAAGTACTCATCCCCGCAGTCTGACCAGATCCTTCGGTCAGTGCTGCTCACAAGCAAGATGATTTAAGGCAACTGGATCTGCATTCCAGGGTATTGTCACAGCATCCCCACACTTGCTCGGCAAAAACTTAGAAGCCAGATCAACAGAGGGCTGCCTGTGGATCATGTTATTTTGGTCCATAGCATAATTAGGTTAAAGGCAGAAGGATGGTGATGTGATTTTTTTCACTATACTCTACAGCAGTGCTTTTTAAACGATCTGGATGAAGAACAGGTGTTCCCCCCATCCACCACTAGTTCATTGTAAAATACAGTTAATTATGGAAAAATGATCATGGGTTTGGCTGTCACAGCAATGTTATGTTTTTATAAAAGCCTCTAAATACTTCTTAAATTCTGCACTTGATCTCACCACAGTTTGCTGATGACATTGGTCTGCAGACCACATTTAGAGTAGCCCTGCTCTGCAGCATGAGGTCCTGTGTCTGCAATCTGATTACCAGGCGGGGCAGTGAAGCACAGTGGTTCACACGCATGCGTCCTGAAGGCAGACCTTGTGGTTCAAATCCTGGCTTCCTCCCTTTATAGCTATGTGACTTACTCAAGTTATTTGACATTCTAATCCTCAGTTTTCACATCTGTGAGATAGGGATGCATTTGCCTCCTGGGACTATTGTTAAGAGTAAAGAGTAATGCATGTAGAGTACAGCACAGTGTTCAAATGGTGGGGATGGGGTCAGAAGAGGAAGAGGAATTGTTACTGTCATTTTGATTTTTTTTTAACCCAATGAACATTGTGAAAAAAGTAAGTGATCATGTTGCCTCGTTGGTTTTTGCCATGGGAACTCTGAGAGCCAATGTGTGGACAAGTGTGCAGAACACCATGGCATGCATTTACTGGCCAGCCTCTACCATGCCTCAGTGCTGCTCTCACTGCCCTCATTTTCTCTCGAGCACATCCCCACTCACTCACCGAGTCAGGGCTCGCCTGTGATGGCTGATGTACACCGACGGGGTTTCCCAGCCCACTTCTGCCTGGTATGCTCTGCCAACCTTGCTGCAGGCCAGACCTGAAATGTCATTATCTTGCTCAAAATCAGTTTACTGCTGTTCCCTGACCTAGCACTCAGAGTCTGCGTTCTTCATTCCTTCCTCAGCTCCCTCCCAAGCTGCTGTGTAGTAATATTAGCAAGAAGTCATTGGGAGAATTCCCTGAGCCCTAGGATGAAGATAGATTCCAACAGAAGAGATTTTCTTTTCCCTATGCCAGGCTCTTAAGAGTGCTACGAGTCTGAGAAAACTGTACTGAATCATAGCATGAGGCATTTTGTCTTTCTGCCCTGCCCACTTACTTTGCCACCACCACCACCACTTAGTTCATTGGTGAGTTTGGGCCACAGATCCGTCCGAGGGCCAATGTGTGGTTAAAATGTCTAAGGATGTTACCCCACCTTTCCCCTGCAAAAGCAACTTCTCTTACAGTACCCAGGAAGAAGGGATAGGAGTCAAGAAGGTTGGGGAATATAAGGAAGGGAAAATTGACTTACTTCTGAATCATCCTTGCCCTGGGGATGGCTTGCTTGGCTTTGTCGTCTGTGTCATACGCCCCCTTGTGGCCATGAAGGGCTTTGCGAATCTGGGTTGGTGGATTCCCTTACTCCTCCCAGGTCAAACATTTCCCTTGGTTTTGGCCTGATAATTCCTCATCATTTTGCAAGCTCTTCAGCTGCTTTAGAGACTTTCATTTTAATATAACTCAGTGCTAAGGGCTGAAAATTAATTATTTCATTTATATTTTATACATTTTTAAAATAATCTGTGTATTATCAGAATAGAGGTCTCTATATTGCCATTAAAGGATTTTCTTACTGGAAAATCTCATGAATCCGTAACATTTGTTTAGAATTCCAGAATACCCCCATTCAAGGTAACTCATATGATAAATTTTAATTAGCTAAGACATTATCTAAATAACTGTAGTGGTCCCCCCTTATCCATAGGGGCATACATTCCAAGACCCTGGTGGATGCCTGAAACCGTGGGTAGTGCTGAACCCTAGGCATAGTACTTTTTTCCTATGCACATATACCTATGATAAAGTTTAACTTATAAATCAGGCATATTAAGAGATTAACATCAATAATAAACTAGGATAATTATAGCAATATACTGTAAAAATGTTATATGTTCTGTCTTTGGCTCTCTCAAAATATCTTATTGTATTGTGCTCACCTGTTTGCAGGCCATGGTGGACCACAGGTAACTGAAACCACAGCTAACGGGGGACTACTGCATATCAATCCTTGAATTTTATTTCATGTACATTTTATTATAATGTTTTTATATATAGCTCTTAATGTGCATATTTGAATATAAAGGAATAAGTAGTTCCAAGAATTCACAATCTAAAAGAAAGAAATTTTAATCAAGTGATAATGAAGAAAGAAAATGATTAGCTGGGCGTAGTGGCTCACTCCTGTAATCCCAGCACTTTGGGAGGCTGAGGTGAGTGGATTGCTTGAGGCCAGGAGTTCAAGACCAGCCTGGCCAACATAGTGAAAACTTGTCTCTAATAAAAATATAAAAATTAGCTGGGCGTGGTGGCATGCGCCTATAATCCCAGCTATTCAGGAGGCTGAGGCACGAGAATCACTTGAACTCAGGAGGTGGAGGTTGCAGTGAGCTGAGATTGCGCGACCGCACTCCAGCCTGGGCAACAGAGTAAGACTCTGTCTCAAAAATAAATAATTAAATTAAATGAAAATGAAAAAAAAAATGATTACAGAAAATGTCTTAGAATGTGCCAAAGAGCAAATACCAGCAGCAGCAGCATTGCTAATGTTCATTAAGCATTTTGCCCTCTCTACTATATTTCCAATAACTCTTGATGCCTTTCTTTTTAGGCTTGACAAATTCTTATGTGGGAAGTAATTATAGACCATCATTTCTTCAGGATAATGAGCTCAGACATTTAATCCTTAAGGTAACTAAAGATATATTTGTCTAAGTTGTGTATGTGCTTTCATTGCTGTTTGAATAGGAGGCAGATTTTCTTCCATTTGCTTCCTGTTCTAAACATATGGGACTCCATATTACACCGTATTTCCTTTAATATAGAAGTTTAAAATAGAGAAGTAGCCATGCATTACTAGTTTGTGTTAATGAAAGTAGAGACAGAGGATAGGCACTTTCCACACTATGGAGCAAAGCTTGTATTCAGTGCTAAGCATTTTATACTACCCATCTCTCACACATAGGATCTACTCCCCCATGATCACCACCTCCTTCAAAGCCGTCTGCCTGGCATCCTGTTCCCTCAGGATCCTGTTCTTCTCGGAGGCCAGTCACTGCTTACTTAGAGTTGTTAGTGCTTTGACATTTCCGTCCTCATCATTCCTGTGCATGGCTTTTCAGATTCACCGGTCTAGAGGGGAAACTGTGATCATGTGATTTGCTTCTCATGCCCTCGGAGGTGATAAATGTCTTGGTCATGTGCTGTGTGACTACTAGGTTTTAAGCCATAGTCAAATTAAATAGAAGGATTCTTCATACACATTTTTGTCCATTTTTCCTTTAATTAAAAAAAGCCACTCTTTTATTTGAACAGCTGAATTTAAATATAGCATTTCTGGCAGGGATAGAAAGGATATTGTGTGGATAAAAAGGATTTTTGAAGGTGGCAAAATGTACGATTTGCTTTCGAAGCTTTCTCACCAATCTGTACATGCTCGTCAGTCGTACCTTCATGGAACCCTGCTTCTGCCCTGCAGAGCATGCCCAGCAAGAGTGCCAGACTCTTCCTATGTGCCATATGTACCCGCTTCCATGCAGGCTGCTTCATGGGATTTGCTGGGTAGACCTTATGAGAGTAGCTGACACATTAGTTTAGAATGAGTGATGCCTTTTTATTATTCAAAAACTATAACAAGGTGTACAGTATAATGTCTTCATTGCTTCCCTGTCCTCATTCTGCCCTGTCCTTCTACCTCAACACATCCACAGGCAATTGTTGTTCTGCATGCAGTGTAGTAGAATTTGGTAAAGGTAATTTTATTTTATTGTTATTTTTTGAGACAAGGTCTGGCTCTGTTGCCTAGGCTGGAATGCAGTGGTGCGATCTCGGCTCACTGCACCCTCCACCTCCCGGGCTCAAGCCATCCTCCCGTCTCAGCCTCCTCAGTAGCTGGGACTAGAGGCGTGCACCACCATGCCCGGCCAATTTTTGTATTTTTTGTCAAGACAGGGTTTCGCCAGTGTTGCCCAGGCTGGTCTCAAACTCATGAGCTCAAGAGATCCACCTGCCTCGGCCTCCCAAAGTGCTGGGATATAGGCTCATTTAGTGCTGTATTTAGGCTCATATACAGCACCTGGCCTAATTTTAGTTTTTAAGAAATGTCTCAACTAAATATTCTGCAGCCAAACTTTTCATGTCCAAAACATTAATTTAGAATAGGATTTCAACTTGACACTCTTTATAAATCTGTTTGCATCTTAAGAACATTTCTTAAAATTAATTTTACTAGCTCCATGACTACTCTGTTAGTTTTATTGCCACAGTAATTTCCTCAGAATCTGAATGTGTGTGTGTGTGTGCGTGTGTATAAGAGACAGACAATATTTTAAAATATTCACTTTTTTTTTAAATCCTAGACTGCAGAAGGCTTCTTATTTGTGGTTGGATGTGAAAGAGGAAAAATTCTCTTCGTTTCTAAGTCAGTCTCCAAAATACTTAATTATGATCAGGTATCCAAAAATGAGGATATTTTCCATACAATGTTTAATTTTTTGAACAAACACATATTTTTAAGCTCTTTTTCTGAACACCTTCTCCCCACTGGGATATGGGATTAGATTCTGCTAAGTTAGAACTCCAAGAGAGATGGAAAGCTGTGTGGAAAGAGTAAGGATCTTTATGACTGATTGCGTTCCCTTCCTGACCTTCAGCAAGTTACTTAATTTTACTGAGCCTCAGCTTCTTCCTATGTAAAAAGTCAAAATGATTATACCTGTCTCTCAAGATGTAAAGACTAAATGAGGTGTCATATTTAAGAGTGTCTGAAAAGTGTTAGTCACCCTTCTCTGTTCCCTCCAAGAGACACTTTATGGTTAATTATTAAGTTATAATCATTGCATGACAGCCTTTGATCTAATCTCTGGCAACACTCTCTGAAATACATCTTTCATTTAACTAGTTTAGTACTTCACCTCCTTATTACTGAACACCATTTCATGGAAACTAGCTACTCAAAAATTATAGCATTGAAACTAACCCAAGTAAGTGAATAAACTAGCACTAGAAATCCGATAGACTGCAGCACTGTTTTTTAATAACTCACATTAGATTATAAGGGTGTTCAGAGATAATGAGTTAAATAACAGAAATAAGGGAATATTATGAGCCTGTGTACAGGAGGATTGAAAACCGATGAAACCTTCAGCTGGTTATAGCTGGGGGCACAAACCTCATGATTCCACGTTCTAACTGGAGATGGAAAACACACCCACACATGCACACACACATGCACGCACACACACACACACACACAGGTAACTGACAGTTTAGGGTACCACTTAAGTTTCAAGTTAGTGACATGGAATCCAGTCCTACTGGGCACTGACTTTGCATAGAAGAGGCTATTAAGAGACTTACTGGCTGCTCAGGGGCATGTAGGGATTCCCATGATTCAGGATTTAGTCCTCAGCTTTTCAGATTCAGAAACTTGGTCTGCCCTAGAGAGTTCTGGATATAGACTTATATTAACCACACAGTTTTTTTTAGAATGAAACATATAACCGCCAAACAATTCAGCCTGCTTATATCGGCTGGTCCGTTAGTCCTGTTGTCTATAGGAATGTTTGCTTGGGTAATACAGGAATTCAGAAGAGGGGTGGCCACTGTGGGTCAGGAAGGCGTCACACATGAAGTAGGATGTCTGCCAGGCTTGTCAGAAGGAAGGTGTAGAGAAGGGGAGGAAACATTTCAACCTGGGAGAAGGGAGTCCCGGAAGTCTAGGGAGTCAAAGGCAATTTGGCTGGAGTGGCCAAGGGATAGGGAAGGGGTGATGAATTCTGAGGGGTGGGACTGTATCAGCAAAGGCATAGACCTGGGGATGCTGTGCCTTTTGGGAGTGGTGGAATGGGAAGTGAGAGGTATTCTGGGTTGGATTTTACCTATCAATAGTATGGTAATTTTTTAAACTGTATGGTAAATATCTGATAAAGTCACAGATATTCTGTGATTTCTATATTATACTATGATGTAATCTCTTTTTTTTAACAAGGACAAAAAAAGTTCAAAGTAAATCACAATCATTTACAAGTAACATGTTAACAAGAGTTACAAGATTTAGCAGAATACTAGCAATTGGTGTTTGTATATGGTTTGTGTATATCCAGGGATGGTTCTATACGCATGTATTTTTTTCTGTCTACAAGTATCACCCTGCTTTGAACATTAAGTTCATGTCACACAGTGTCGTGGACATATCTTTGAGCTTGAGAAAAATCAATCAAAAATCAAAAAAGAACATTTATTGTATGCATCAAGAAATGTAGAAAAAGCATGGTACTGATTTTAAATGAATGTCTACCTTATGAATAGGCTAGTTTGACTGGACAAAGCTTATTTGACTTCTTACATCCAAAAGATGTTGCCAAAGTAAAGGAACAACTTTCTTCTTTTGATATTTCACCAAGAGAAAAGCTAATAGATGCCAAAAGTAAGTGTCCATTTCCGCATGCTTATTATTTTATGTAAATGTAATGATCACCTAAAAGTTTAGCTACACAGTGTTTTTAAAACAGCTAACTAAGCTTTTATCAAGAGAGAATTGTTTTGTAAACTTTACATCATACTTAATAAATATATATAGCTATATAGAAAATTCCTATATTCATACAGACATATACAAACACAAATTCATTGATATGAAGATGCTTTGGGGAAAATATGAGTGCTTCATATTTGCTATTTTTCATATGCAAATAAAATCTTTACAAGAAAGTATCATTTGGATAAAAAATTGCTGAAGTTCCCATTATTTAGCTATATGCTAAAAGACAATTACTCTCTTTTTTATATGGATTAGGTCTTTTCTGTATGAAAGACCTTGTATAATTGTGTTTGGGAAGTATAAGTATTTTTTTCTTCTCTGAAAATGCCTAGTACCAAATAATTATGTAAAATATAAAACAATTGATTCCTGTAATAGTTAAGGTTTTTTTCATTTTTTAATTTAATTTTTATTTCATTTCACTTAAATTAACTTTGTTCTTCCCCATTTGAGGAAAAAAGAAAGATAAATTGCAAATGTCTGTAAGTTATCAAAATGTGATTGCTTGACAAATACATTTTTTGGGTATATTTCACTTCAGGGTTTACTGTACAATCATGCCATTGCTTTAAAAAACTGTTTCCTTTCTCAATAATAGATGGTCAGAAAATGTTAGGAGATAAATTTCAA